>NC_000002.12:48978231-49281261 GCF_000001405.40 Homo sapiens | reverse complement strand
ATCAGTAAACAGCAAGGTGATACATAAGAAAGTCACCCAAGAACCAGCATGGATATGGATATGTCCAAGGCTGAGACTCCTTCCTCTCTCACTGGTTTACTAAAAGAGGACGTTTCCAGGATGACGCGTTTCATAATCATAAGCCTATTGGTGTGGGGAAGCTGTTATTTGTCTATTTCACCTCAGAAGATTAGAGCTGCGTTGAAAGATGATAGGGCGCCTTAGGTTTGCTTTCCACCAGATGCAATGCCCTGTTCACAGATCACATCTCTGTAGAGTGTGAGTAAACACTGAAATTTTTCCCTGTCCCATAACATTTCTACTAAAAAAATATGGGATTTATTTTTGCCTAAATCAATTTTAATTAACAAACATTGACTGGGAGCCTGGCATGCACCCAACAAGGTGCCATAGAAGGACATAGAGTGTCAGATATAATGCTTAGGAGTCCACTTTCTAGTGGTACACATACTTAAAAAGATAATACAAAAAAATGAATGTAGGTCAGCATTCACCAAAGTATTGAAAGGTGTTACCTGCATAGAATAAAGGAGTCCCATGCTTATATAAATTTGAGAACACTGGGTTAAATGAAGTTCAAAAACCTTTTCAAGTACTTTCTGGAGTTTTTAAAATGTGAATGTGAGTTGTTGAGCTGTGAATCTCTAAAAGCAGAATAGCCCTATAATGTATTATCCAACCTTGAACACTTATTGGAGGAAAATGGAAAACTAATATGCATATGCGAGATTAATAGACAAAAAACAGAACTATCCTAGGCGTCCTGGAATGTATGGCAATTCCTTTGAAAAGGCAGTAGAGTGTTGCTATTTGCTAAAATTAATTCCATGTAACTTCTTGTTGTTAAGCTAAGCTTCCATAAAAGAAACATTAAGAACAATGCTTATGCAAGAAGAGAAAGTATGGTGTAGTAGAAAGGACATAGTTATCACAGGCAGACAGACTTGGTCTCAAAAACCTGCTCTGCCAGATACTAACAAATATTGTAAAGACCCAATGGGTTCTTCTTGCCCACTGCCCAGATAGACCTGATTTATCAAGGCGAGGGATTTGCAATAGAGGAAGAGTTTAATACACATAGAACTGGTGAAACATGAAAGTGGAGTTTTATTATTATGCAAATGAGCCTCCCCAAAAATTAAGAGGCTAGGATTTTTCAAGGATAGCTTGATAGGCAGGAGGCTAGGGAATGGGTGCTGCTGACTGGTTGGGGATGAAATCACGGAGGTGTGGAAAATGGTCTTCATGCACAGAGTCCACCTTTGGGTAGGGGCTTCAGAGGAGATGTTGGTCTGAGTGGAGTCACAGTCAGAAATGCAAAAGTCTGAAAAGACATCTTAAAAGGTCAATCTTAGGCTCTACAATAATGATGTTATTTACGGAGTAACTGGGGAAGTTGCAAATCTTGTGACCTCCAGAATCATGGCTGGTAATTGTTTAGCTACACTTACAGAATTGAGACCCCTCTCATTCTCCTAACCTGGTGGTATTTCACTAGTTTTACAAAGGTAGTTTAGTTTTGGAAAGGGCTATTATTTAAACTATAAACTAAGTTTCTTCCAAAGTCAGCTTGGCCCATGTTCAGGAATGACCCAGGACAATTTGGAGGTAAAGGCAAGATAGAGTTTGTTATGTTATATCTCTTTTACTGTCATACTTTTCTCATTGTTATAATTTTTGTAAAGACACTTTCAATACTAGAGCCGTGGTTCCCAAAGTGTGGTCCCTAGACCACTAGAGTTAGCATCATCTGTAAACTCGTTAGAAATGCAAATTCTAAGGCCTTAACCCAGACCTAATGAATCAGGGGGGAAAGACTAGCACTCTTAACTTTAAAAAACCTTCAAAATGATTCTGAAATATACTGAATCAGATAGTTTATTGGACCTCTCAGTTCAAATACATGAACTCTCAGAACCTCAGTTTACTTATTTGTGAAATGGCACTAATAAACTTGCCTTGTGGATTACTCATGACTTAAAGTAGGTACTTTAAAATATTTGCTACTTATAGCACTCTGAAAGTTCTTCCAGAATTACAGATGGCAAACTCACAATGTTAAATTAAAGAGTCTAATGAAGACATAGATGTGGGCAGAATTAACAAACAGAACTCCCAAGGGTCAATTATCTATACTGTCCATACAGGCCAGGTGAACTGGAGTTTGGAGATATACCCACATTGTGTACTATACAGGTGTTACAGCACCTACAGTTATTTTAACTCTGTTATGTATATTTATCCTCCTCACTGGACTGGGAGTTCCTCAAGGGCAGAGACCATGACATCCAAGTTTATTTTTCTATTCCCACCACACAGTATGTTTCCAATTCATGTTTAATACAGGATCACATAAGTAAGTTAAAAAAAAAGTCTTTGAATTGTCTTGACACATCAGAAAAGAGAGAGGAGGGAACTGACAACGACATAGCAACTCCTTTTGCCATGAACCAGCCCACAGGATTTGTCACCAGCCCAGAGCAAATTGTTCCAGTTCCTTCCTTAGATTTTTGCCTCTTTTAAAACAAAGGCATAATGCATGAGGCTAAAGATGGAGTCTCAGCAGCACCTCTTTTCTGGATATTGCTATTTCAAGCTCCCTTCTGCTGGGCCCACAGCTCCATTGCAATGTATATATGCCTCATTGGAACAGGTTGTTCTGGGTTTGGCCAGTTTGATAATTATCTTCCTTTAGGCAGGTCAGTGAAAAGATGAGAAAGTAACTGGCTTCCTATGACTTACTGAGTACATTGCTCCTCAATTTACATATAAATGTATTGAAGCTCAGAGAATTAAATAGTTGGCCCAAAGCAACACTGTACTTGTGGGTCTAATTATACTTCAGAAGACATTGTGACTCTCCTGGTCTTTTTAGGCAGAATGCTTTAATCTCTCTACATAACACTGAAAGTCTGAACACAGGGTTGTGGTCAGCTAAGGAGATTATATACATTCCATGTATTTGTTCTTCCATGTGACAAAACCCTTTCAGAGTATAGTATTAACCATTGAATTCCTCTGTAGCCTCAAGTCTTTTTCTTCCTTTCTATATATCCCTTTCTCTCCCTGAAGTTGTTTATCAAATCCAAATTTCAGCTCCTCTTTATGTAATGAGCAATGACCAGCATATGTTCAGGAAATATTTAGTTTCAGCTTTAGTCCTTATTTGAACTCCACTTTGGTTCTACTATCCACCTGTCTCTACCCAACTGATGCTTGTTTTAGTCCTCCTGACCTTCTTAGGCTACTTAATGTCACACGTGTCCAAGTGAAGAGACCACCTAACAGGCTTCGTGTGAGCAACAAGGCTGTTTATTTAACCTGGGTGCAGGCGGGCTGAGTCTGAAAAGAGAGTCAGCAAAGGGAGATAGGGGTGGGGCTGTTTTATAGGATTTGGGTAGGTAGTGGAAAATTGCAGTCAAAGGGGGTTGTTCTTTGGCAGGCAGGGGCAGGGGTCACAAGATGCTCAGTTGGGGAGCTTCTGAGCCAGGAGAAGGAATTTCACAAGGTAATGTCATCAGTTAAAGCAGGAACCGGCCATTTTCACTTATTTTGTGATTCTTCACTTGCTTCAGGCCATCTGGATGTGCAGGCTTGGGCTCAGAGGCCTGACACTTAATTTCCCTCCAACATTTTTAGAGTATTGTCTAAAGATTCAGTAGAATCTCCCAGGTCTGTTCCTTAATTGATTAGTCATTTCAATTTGTCAAAAATCATACTCTCCATTGTGTACAAGCTGGTTCATTTCCTGCTGTTCCCTCTGCCTCCAGTCAGTAGCACCTTCCTAGGAGTATTTACTTAGAGGTTTGCTTGATTCAGGGTATCATTCTGAAAGCTTTAAGTTGCACTTTACAAGATTACCAATGTTAAATAAAATTTATAGGAGGCCATTGGTTTGTACTGAGCTCCCGATAGACCAACCCAAAATGGAATCATTCATGCTGAAGTTCCATGCCACCAAGCTGAAACCAAACTGTTTAACTGACCTTCCAAGAAATCAGGAGAGAGAGAAATAATAACCAAATCCCTAAACAGGCCAATTTTAGTGGGTGTCATAAGGAAGTCTTGGCTTCAACCTTTATAAGAAAAGTAACTTTGAAATGACCAATCAGCTATTTGTTCCCTCTTTCTGCTTTTCTCTGCTCTTTTTGGTCTGTAAAACCAACCTCCTCTGGTCAGCTCATCAGAAAACTCATTCTATTTTCAAGAATGAAGTTTTGCCTTATTCTGGAATAACAAATAAAAGCCAATTTGAATCTTTAAATTTGTTGTAACTTTGTCTTTTGACCTCAAACATATTAATAAACCCAACAGCCATTTTTCTCTCATTATCTTAATCAATCTCTCAATAGCATTGACACAATTGACCCCACAGTGTCTCAAAAAAACTTGCTTTGTTCTGCTGTGATGCCATGCCCTCCTGGTTTTCTTCCGACTCACTGACCTTTGCTGACTCCTTCTCCTCTACTCAAGGTCTGAATGCTGTGGTACCCCAGTGTTCTGCCTTTGCCCTCTTGTCTAGCCATACCCCTCTCACTCTCTAAGTGATCGTAGAGCTCGGATTTAAAATCTTAGAGTAGGAATAGTTACAGGGACATCGGAACCTAGATAGAGCTAAGTAAGAATTTCTGAAGATGAGTAGATATGAACATCACTAAAATTGAGTAGATCAAGAGACAAAGTATACAAGGTTTGGGAAAAGTTGCCCACGCAGACCTTGAAATCACACTCAAAACATGGCAGGCAGTGGGGTAGAGACAGCAGCTATGAGCCAGAGGCTAGATATTTGATAACTCTGGAGACAAGATTGGAGGCATATATGAGAAAGACTACTGGTACGAATCAAACAAAGCCTGAAGGGCTGCAATGTCCTTGGAACCTGAAGAGTATAAAAACCTCACCTCTCAGCTCCTGATAACTTCAGTCATTACTTACTTTTTTCATCAGATCTACTCATGGTAATTTACTGAACATACATTTATGACACTTGATTTTATTCACCTTTTAATAAATATGTCAACATATGTGGCTTTGTACTGTTCCCTGTCATTGGCCACATTGTAAGCTCAGGGCCCCAGGAGAGAAGGAACTGGGTCATATATCTTTTACCATTGCATGTCTATGCAACCTCACATAACCTATAGAAACAGGTTCTGAACAAGAGAGGCTCAATAAGTATTAATATGCTTGTGGGAACAGTATTATCTTTTCCCTCAGGGTTGTAAAGTTGTTTTGTTCTATGAAATTCACTATTTTTCCCATTAGTGGTAGTCAGCCCATCTGGACAGATCCAGTGGACTGTCCAGTCCATTGGACTATGCACTCAAGATGGTAAAGTGGGACAGGGGGCTAAAGGATGCTGTCCTTCCCTTTATTGTGAGTCTGGCCTTGCATATCCTGGTCCTTAAGCCTCTTGTGTACAGAATAATCTGGGGTAGTGTTTGTCTCTATGCTCAGGAAAGTGACCAGAACTGTTCCATTCTTCTCACAGGAATGGAACAGTTTTTCGAAGAAGAGAAGTCATCATCCCAGTGACTAGAGAGCCCAGGCCCACCATCCTTAACCTAGGACTTTAATGATTTTACAAATTAGATCAATCCAAGAAGTACCCAAAGCAGCCTTTCCACTCTTTATCTCCTTCTACCATATTTTCATTTGCCTAATCCTCGTATCTTTGGAACAGCTTCACTTTTTTATTCAAAAATATGTATTGCATCCCCAGGATCTGCCAAACATTGTGGTCATTAAAGAGACAATAGAGATGAATAAAATGCATGACCTGGCTTTAAAGGTGTTTATAATTCTGTGTATATATTTGTGTGTAAGAATAACTAAAGTCAACAGCTTAATCAGAGAAGCAAGTAATAAAGTTTCTGAACACATGGAAATTTATAGGAGTAAAAAGGAATGGTTCCTATCCCGGAGTGGAGTGCACCGAAAGGTTCCCAGAAGACATGAGCCTGGGCTGAGTGTTGTAGAACTAATAGGCAGTAACCAGCAGAGTCTGCAGTTCTAGACAGAGCTTGTGCTAAGGCACAGGGGTACAACAGCAGAAACCATTCTAGGAACTGCCTCAGAATGGCATATTCTCACCCTACCATTTACATCTTGGTGTTCTGGACGTGAATATTAGAAATTTGGCTTCTTTGGTGTAGATTTAGGACTTTTAGACATGGCCAGAGTCATGATTTCAGTGAGTAGATAAAGGATCAGGACTGGAAAAGGCCATTTAAAAAACACTCTATAAAAGCAATAGAGTTTTTGAGGATTCTGCAATTCACCAGGACTCATGTAGAGCTCTGATAGAGAAGACAAAGAGAGAATGTCTCTGTTTTTCTACTTCTTCCAGCCCAGTTAGAGAAAATGGGGCATTAAATGGTACTTACAGTAGTCAGGGTTCTCCAGGGAAACAGAGCCAAACAGAGAAATAGAGAACTAAATGTATATATGTAATATAATATAATATAATATAATATAATATAATATAATATAATATAATATATATTTAACATATATAATGTATTATATAATATATTTATATAAAATATTTATATATTATATATTTATATTTATATATAATATAATACATATATATATTTATTATGGGAATTGACTCACACAATTATGGGGGCAAGGAAGTCCCACAACATACCATCTGCAAGCTGGAGAACCAGAAAAGCCAGTGTTATAATTCAGCCTGACTCCAAAGTTCTGAACCAGGGAAGCTGATGCTCTAACTCACAGTCTGAGGCCAAAGGACCAAGAACCAGGAGGGGCCACAAGTGTCTCTGGATGTCTGAGGGTAGCAGAAGATGGATGTTCCAGGTTAAGGAAAGATAGATAAAATTCACCCTTTCTCCACCTTTTTGTTCTAATTCGGCCATCAATAGATTAGATGATGCCTGCCCACACTGGGGAGTGAGGTTGGATCTTATTTACTCAGTCTACTGATTTGAATACTAATCTATTCCAGAAACACCCTCACAGACACACTCAGAAATAATGTTTTACCAACTATCTGGGTATCTGGGTGAAGACCCAGTCAAGTTGACCAATCATAGTCCAAACCATAATAGTACTCTTAACCATTATAGTACTCATTTTTTCTGGGGATTCTCTCAGTGTATATTCGAATATTTGCTGACTGCATAAGGATAAAGTTATAGCACCAGGCTTACTAGACATTAAAAGAGACTCAGTTCAACAATTGTGTACTTCAGGTCTTCTTTGTCCAGGCACAGTTCTAGGCACTGTAGATACTGAAAGAAAAAAAGCATGTTCTGAGGGCACTGAGCAGGATGACTTGCCTTTTCCCCTCACAGTCACCTCATAGCCAGGATTACTGAAGAGAGCTGCCCAAGGTTGTGGGTTGAGAAGACAATAGCAACCTGTTGACCTGAGTCTTACGAGAAGTAGGTACACACTCCTTGGGCACCCTGGGACCTGAAGCTTCATAATTAAAGAGCATAACATCAAGCTCATGTAATAATTGTTGCAGACTCAAGAAAATAAATGGATTAGTCATAAAATCCCCTGCCATTTGTGCACTTCTGTAGCTGCCTATTACATTGTATCCCTTATCATTGAGAAATACAGATGCCTGCTTTCTAAATCTGACACGAACAAACCTCCTTTCTATCTCCATCACCCATCCAGCACTCTTTGTGCATGCTGAATTTATGGCTGCTTTTCTATTAGTTTCCAGCAGTATTCACTAGATTAAAGCTGCATCAGAAATTGGATTTTTTTCTACTTTTACCCCTGAAGAGTGTAATAAAAAAATAACCCAATAAATCTGGCAAATTAGCAATAAGATCTCAAACTTTGGTGCCTATGCGCAACTATGCTGTCAGGAAGAAATGTAAAAGTATTGACAGCTGAACCAATCAGATTACATATTAGTATTTACAAGCAGGAAAGATAAAAGACAATTCTTCCATCTAAATTGAACCAAGCTCACCACAAGGAAAAAAAAAGTCTCAGGGGTAGAGAATATCATTGTTTTATTTCCTATGTAGCTACCATAATCTTAGGTAAAGTAGAACAGTTTGACAGACTGTTTCTTAAAATTTTTTTTCCAAGTTGGGAACTTGGACAGGTGTGGGTTTGGGACTACTTTCCCTCATAGACTACTCCTGGCTGTGGTATTGGGCTAGAACTGGACGACTTACCTTATCCTGATATATATTCCCTTGATTGTAATAAAAGAAATATTCCCAATTCAAGAACAGCTCTTAAAAAGGGAATGTTAGGAACTTATTCATTCCACTTTACTTGAAAAAACAATTAGAAAGCTTGGGGCCATAAGGTGGCTTCTTGTTTGGGGTCTATAATTATGTAAGTTGTGAGCAATAAACCTCCCTGTCCTTATCGCTCATCTTCCCCTAAAGTATTTCTCTTCCCTGACAGTGGCTTACAGCTCTCTCTTCAGTAGCCATTATAGATGTAGTCAAAGCAAGGCAGAAAACAAATCACTTTGCTCCCTAACTCTTCCATATTAAAGTATACAGATACACACGCACACACACACACACACACACACACACACACACACCACACACACACACGAAGTAAGTGTGTATGCTCTTGTGGCTTTGTTTGGAATCCTATCTTTGCATTCAGCATTTGTTCGGCAGATACCATGTGGTCCCAGGCCCTCTGTTGAACATTCAGTGGCAAAAGGCATATTTATTCTCAGCTCTAAAGAGGTAGCAGACGAATGTTCTCCAACAGGAAGAAGCTTACAGACACTCTTCTTTTACCTATTACCTTTTACCTATTTCTCCTTTACCTTAATTCCATTTATCCCAAACATACATTTTCATAAAAGCTCTATCATAGTCCTATCACTTCTGCAAAACATCTCCTGAGCTTACACTCTTTCCCTGCTCTGAGCACATAGCATCTACTCTGTATTGTCCTTTTGGAATTTAATGGTCCTTACTCTAACTTGTGGCATATACTGTATTATTGTTGTTGTTGTTATTAACATTTGACATTTAATGTTTAACATTTCCTGTGCTTTTATTTCATTTTCCAAGGTACAACATTCTTAAGGGCAAAGATACCTTCATCTATGCTTTTTGGAATCCTTCACAAAACTTAGTAGTACAATATGAATTATAGGTATTCAATGACAGTTTTTTAAAAGAAGAAAGGGACAGAGGAAGGAAGGGAGGGAGGAAGGAGGGAAGGAAGGAAGGAAGGGAGAGGGGGAGGGAGGAAAGGTGGAAGGAAGAACTTATAAACTGTCATCTACCAATCTAGTCCTCATCGATATTAGTAAATCTCATAAAAGGCTACAGGCCTAATAAGAATCATGATGAATGCCAGGTAAGCAAGGAAGAATGTTGTGGTAATATTGAATTTGCTTTGTGAACCATAAAGGTGGGTTTAGCGGCCTTGTGTTATGACGAGACTTTTTATTTATGTTTGCTGTGTGTGTGTGTGTGTGTGTGTGTGTGTGTGTGTGTGTGTGTGAGAGAGAGAGAGAGAGACAGAGACAGAAAGAGACAGAGACGGAGAGAGACAGAGTGGGAGAGAGATAAATACATGAACAAAACAGACATACTGCAAATATAATCCAAAAGCCTGGCCCTTATGTGTTCAGTCATTTTAATTACTGCTTTTTTTTTTGTAATTTTAGAATCACAATTTTTTCCTCTCTCACTCTGTCTTATTTCTCCTCCTTTCCTAAGTCCTATTATTTCTTAACCAAATAGGCCATGCTATCATAAATGATTGGCAATAAGAAATGTCAGCTGTCAGCAAATTGACACTAGCTGGTATAAGTGCATGTGGGAGTTTGGCCCAGGATCCCAGCTCAGCTGGTGAGAGGGGATCTTGGAAGTTACAGAGACAGCTGTCCTTCACAATAAATGTTACGAAAGACAATTTGGACCCCTTCCAGGTGGTATGCCCTGAGTAAGGAACAAAGTTGACAGAAATGACTTGGCAATTCAGCTGTCATTTTGGTAATCTGATCAATATACACAGCTGAGCAAGATTACTGGCCTGCTGATGGACTTCCAGGCCTAAGGCAGACAGAACTTAGACTAGGCAGCAGCACTAAAAAGCCACTTTCCCGACTTATCTTTAGGCTCCAGAATTTTGGAGGAAGAGACAATAGAATAGGAACAATGTGCCTCTGGCCTTTGGCCAACATGCTGTACACCTTACTGAGGGTACACGATGGAGAGGCTATGTATATGAAATAGGAGATGAGTAAAAACTAAAATCAAATGAAAACTTATCAGAAAGTTTCAGGAATGTAAGGGTTTGAAGATTAGTGCTTACTGGCTTACAGGAACACATGTGCTTTCTTCATTACCCAAATTTTAGGGAAATTGGTGTTCCCAACTTCACTCCACTTACAAATATAAAAACAACTGGCTAACAGTTGTGAAGATTTTGAATTTCTGGGCAATTGCAATGGCAATATGTAAAATTCTCTGCATAATGGAGTGTCCAACAAAGACTGAGCCAACCAATTTCTGAGAGAAAAAAATGCCATTTTAAAAGATGTAAGTCATTTCTGCTTCTGAGGTTTGCCTTTAGGGCAGAGAATCTCTTTGTTCTAGGAGAGAATGATTTGCAAAGCCCATTTGATTACACAGATGTAAGGCAGGCATTAACCATTTTTCTTAGAGGTAGCAACAGCTCTTTCTGGATCAGGGGAATTTTGCTGGGTCTGAATTCTAAAGTGTAGAAAGTTCTGGAGATTTTTAGTAATTGGTGGAAAATGGGGATAAGGTAGACTAGTTACTGTCATGTGATGAACAGCAGGGGAGCGAGGTAAGGAATTCATACGCCAAGGGATTCTGAAGTCTGATTTAGGTGTATGGTCTTTAGGAATTGTCTTTTTTTGCAGCAGCGACAGTTGGAAGACCTGGTCTATATTTTAAAGTAACTCCAATAAAAGCAGTGTCCCCTCTAGAGGCCAAAGCAGAGATATTCGCAACATCCATCAGTAGAGCAGTGATCTATCTGCAAAGTTTGTTGGGTGCGGGGTATCGGGGGATGGTGGTGAAATGCTATGGTCTGACTGTGTCCCCAAAAATGTATATGTTAAAACTTAATCACCAATGTAATAGTATAAATATGTGGGGGCTCTAGGGGTGATTAAGTTAGGAGGGTGGCACCTCATAAATGAAATTAGGGCTCATGTTACAAAGCTTGAGGAAGAGTGGGTTCATTCTCTTCTGCTCTTCCACCATGTAAGGACACAGTGTTCATCCCCTTTCGCCCTTCCATTCCTCCTGCCATATGCAAACTGCTAAATGGTGCCATGTAAGGAATGGGCCCTCACCAGACACCATGGCTGCTGGTGACTTGGACTTCCAGTATCCAGAACTGTAAGGAGCTAAATTTTTGTTCTTTATAAATTATACAGTCTTGGGTATTTTGTAATGGTAGCACAAATTGACTAAGACACATACCAATGTTTTGGGGGCTCATTCACCACATTCTCAAATTAAGGCTGGGCACAGTGGCTCACGCCTGTAATCCCAGCAATTTGGGAGGCCGAGGCAGGCAGATCACCTGAGATCAGGAGTTTGAGACCAGCCTGGCCAACATGGTGAAACCTCCCTGCAACCCGGCTCTACTAAAAATACAAAAATTAGCTGGGCGGGGTGGCAGGCACCTGTAATCCCAGCTACTTGGGAGGCTGAGGCAGGAGAATCGCTTGAACCCGGGAGGCAGAGTTTTCAGTGAACCAAGATCACGCCACTGCACTCCAGCCTGGGTGACAGAGTTTTGAGACTCCATCTCGTAAAAAATCAAATTAAGAGCCAGGCAGAGGTATAGAAGAGTCTGGCAGGCCCAGAACAAAGTACCTCTCTATGTGAAATATCTCTGCTTAGCTATCATTAGATATATGCCTTAATATCACTTTTATTTTTTTTGCAATGACATCGACTTCTAGAAGTAGGGCAAGATTTGAACTAACTCTGATTTTGAGAGCTGGATTAATAAAGGGATGAATGCCCTAAAGGCATCCTTAGGAAAGAAACCTAAAATAAAGTCAAGAAAATTCACAAGTCCAGAAAGTTAGCTCAGACCTATTCCTCTCTGGCCGAAGGCAGCATGGTATAGGATTTGGGGCCAAAAGTCATCTTATGTCTGCTGCTTAATATATTTCTATGACCTTGGACAAGCAACGTTACCTCTTTGAGCCTCAACTTCTCCAACTTTAAAATGAACATATTTATAATAACCATCACACAAGATTCTTCTGAATATTAAGTGAAACCACATATTTGAAAAGCAACGTATAAGCTCTATTTACTATTCATAACAAATTATAATCTTAAAGGGGCCTAATTTGGAGAGTCAAAAACAGACACTAAAATAAATCATTCTTCCTTTATAGGTGTAGATAAGATAGGAGTGGTAAAACATTTAGTAGGAAGGAAGAAGACTGAGTAGCATGTGGCAGAACAGAGATTAAAGAAATACCTCTATGTCAAGACCCCCATACTTGAGCTGAGAATAGTGCAGAAGGAATCCTCCAATCCAATCAGACATGGCTGTTGCTGCACAACTAGGCATTTCTCAGTACTTCAGGGTCTAGCCAGAACCATCTCTTGTAGCCTGTCAAGGGTCAGAAACATTGGATAGGTGAAGAATTAAGCTCTTGGGAAATCTATTCAATCAAATGTAAGTTTGAAAAGAGAGAGAAAAAATCTTATATAAAAACTCTTTATTGGTGATAGAGGGCACAAGCTGTAGAGGTGAGATATTTTATTTTGCTGTACACTGTCTGTAAAGCAATCTCTTCTCTTAGAAAACGATGTTTCTATTAGACTCTGAGCTATTTGTCATTCTGGGCCCCAAACAGAATATTTTTTATAAGAACATCAGAAATGCCATGCTGGATCAAACCAATGGTCCCTTTAGTCCCATGTTTGCCTTTGAAAGTGGTACCAAGAGAGGGTTCATGAGAGGACACAGATGCTCTATTTTAGTGGCTTTAAAACATTTTTGACTGTGGCTCATAGTTAGAAATAGAGATCACATTGTAATCCAGCTCTCACATTCACACACATGCACAAAACACACCTATACATACTTATGTATATAAAACTAACACTTTGTATTCTATTCTCTCTCTTTTTTTTTTTTTAAACTACTGGCCCCAACCCACTAAACTGATTTCCTGACCCATTAATAGAATCACAACTCAAAGCTTAAGAAACCTTGCTCTATTTGCTGTCAGCCTCAAAGGCTAGGAATAGGTTTCTAACACTCCTATTTCTTTTTTAATACTTTTGAATTATACTTTAAGTTCTGGGATACATGTGCAGAACGTGCAGGTTTGTTACATAGGTATACACATGCCATGCTGGTTTGCTGCACCAAACAACCTGTCATCTATATTAGGCATTTCTCCTAATGCTCTCCCTCCCCTAGCCCCCCAAGCCCCCGATGGGCCCCAGTGTGTGATGTTCCCCTCCCTGTGTCCATGTGTTCTCATTGTTAAACTCCCACTAATGAGTGAGAACATGGGGTAACACTCCTATTTCTATTTAACCCAGTGAGGCTCTAATACTCATGAATTTACCTAAAGCCACCTTGTGGGAAAATTAGTTATGCCAGGGTGAATACTCACAATATGAAGCAAAACTGACTCTTACTTGTATTCTGTAGTATATTTCATAATATACATGGAATCAAAACATCGAGGTGAAGAAAAGTCGACTTGGATTTCTTTCTCTTCCTCAGAGATTCCATCTCTGTGGCAGAGAGGCTACAGAAAGAAGCTTATACTGGATTATACTTTGTTAGAGTGAGAGACATTGAACATTTCTAGAGGGTTGATTGATGTTTATGACAAGGGCCTTTAGGTGCTGATTTATCAAATATATATTGTGTCATTGGTTGCATTTCTCATATATAGCCACAACATCATGCTCCATCTTACATGCTTTTCTTCTATGTGATCTCATCACATCCCATTAAGAGAGATTGAACTTGATAGACTCAGTTACTGTTTTGACCAATAATATGTGGAGGAAGCAATCAGTGCCAGTTCTAGGGCTAGCCCTTAAGTGGCCTGGCAGTGCCCACTTCCTGCCTGTGGGAGACCAGCCACCAGGTAAGAAGTATAACTACTCAGAAATCATCATGTGAGAACTCCAGGCTCTGTTAAGAGGCCTGGAGGATGAGATGTCACGTGGAGAGATAGAAAGAAGCCAAGCAGCACCAAAATGCCCATGTGTAAGGAGATCCTACGCTCCAACTATAGAGACCAACCATCCAGTAAAATTCTCCCTGAATTCTTGACCTACAACATTTTAAATAAAACAATAAATAAAAAATTAATAAATAAAATAATGAATTTTTATTTTAAGCATCTAGGCTCTAGGATGGCTTGTTAAGAAAAAATAGATTATCAGAACAATTGTCCATATCATATAAATCTGAAGTTCTATGGACTAACAAAAAAGCTTGAATTTTGTGATTTACTTTTGAGTTTCAATAGTTTGATTTCTCAGTAACAAAATGAATCTGGGTAATGTAATTATCTAAGTTAAAATATGAATTGTGTATTCAAAAGACAGTTATGTAATTTTTAACATAGTTCTCTTTTCACCAATATTTGTATTTCACTAGTACCTATTCATTATTTTCTCTCTGATTTTTTTTTTTTCCTACTGGTACTTAGTATGTGTTAAGCACTCTTCTGGGCACTGGGAAATACAGAAGTTAATGAGACACCATCCTTGACCTTGATTGAACCAATTTATAACAAAAGGGACAAGCAGAGACCATTTTGTTACATTAGGATCAAGAGAGTTACTCAAGAAGACTTCACAGAGATGACTTTTAAGCTGGAGTTTGGAGAATGAGTAGGTCAGGAAGAAGAGTTGGAGAGGAAACATGATACGGAAAACAAAATAATAGAATTCCAAACAGAGAAGGTAGACTAGTCAAAGGCAAAAAGAAATGAAGGTGTGGTGGGCTGGTTGTAGTCCTAGGGATGTATGATCAGTGATCATACAGCAATAGAGAAGCTTTGCATGCTTGGGGTCACATTATAAAAGGCTTTGGATGCCATGCTAGGAAATCCAGACTCAGACCGGCAAGTGACAAGAAACAAGGTAATATTTTATTTATTTTTTATTGTTCATTTTTCAAGACAGAGTCTCCTTCTGTCGCCTAGCCTGGAGTGCAGTGGTGCGATCTCGGCTCACTGAAACCTGCACCTCCCGGGTTCAAGCCATTCTCCTGCCTCAGCCTCCGGAGTAGCTGGGATTACAGGCATGCGCTACCACACCCAGCAAATTTTTATATTTTTAGTAGAGACTGGTTTTCACCATGTTAGCCAGGCCAGTCCTAAACTCCTGATCTCAGGTGATCCGCCAGCCTCAACCTCCTAAATTGCTGGGATTACAGGCGTGAGCCACTGTGCCCAGCCCCAGGTAATATTTTAAAGTAGAAATGTGTCCTGAGCACTTTCATGTTAAGGAAGAATTCCAACAGAGGAATGCACAAGAACGCACAATGCAAGCATGAGGTCCCCTCCCCCATAGGCTCTGGACTAATTTTCAACAAATAAAAGCATACAAATGGCAACTGCTTCCTTTACTTGTTTGCCTTATCAAGATGGATGGAGAGCAGCCACTTCCTAGAATTATCATTGGCCTATTTGTGTCACATACCAGGAAACAGATTTTTCAAGAATAAAAGAAAGAAAGCAGTTAACCAAAATTACAGCAACTCAGAGTGGGGAAAGCTTGCACTGGGGATATATATTTTGAACACTAGGATATTACACTTGATCCTCATATCTAAAACCATATTTCTATCACAGCTTACAAAGCAGAAAACATAAATCACTAGCAGAGATATCTTTCTGAGGTATGCTTAGGCTTCTTTTTTCCTCCTATAACACAGGATTTAGCTTTGGAATTTACACTTCCCTAACATTAGAGAACAACTTTCAGCAAAGACAGGGGTCAAAATTTTTGGTTTTTCGGGAGCTAATCTTACTATTACTTCAGTGGAGCATCTAAACAAAGAAAAGGCAACCAGACCAGATTGCCTGTGGCTAAATGCTTTAACACAAATGGATATCATAGCCCAAGGAATCCTGCTAGAAACAAAAAGGCAGGAAAGAATCTTAACCTCTTCACGTGCAAACATCATGGGAGTGACATGAGAAAATAAAGTTCTCCTTGGTGGTCTAGTCTATAATGCTTTATTATGATGACTCAATCTCTAGGGCTACTTAAAATTCTGAACTCAGGTTCCCTGAATTCTGATTCCCTTCTCATGAAAATCACGATCCCAATTTTAACTGCACTTCCCTGGAGGCAGAAAACATCAAGTCACCATATTTATAGCTGGTGCATAATTACTATATGCAATATTTATCTGGCTGTTCATCTGTTTTCATGTCTTCTGTCTAACTGGTAAGGATGTCAATGGGCAAGTTTCTCAGCATCTTGTATAGGAATATATCATTCACTGGATATTTTATCTACTTGGTCTACTTGGCTCATTCCTTGAGTTTCTTAAAGGAGTGGCCCATATTTACCAGCCTTTTTTGAAAAGTTCCTCGTGCTTCCTATTTAGACCCCATATTGGACCTTTAGTTCTATCTAATTATGTCAATCAATTATTCTGTTACCTAACTTATTCAGAGCACCTTACATCATATAATCACAGGGCAATTCCAGGCTACTTGAATTGATATATAGAATGAGTATTTTGCTATTCTTTAAAATACTCCATCAAACTCCATGTATGTCAGCACTCTAAATTGTAAAAGTGCCATCTCCATCCTGCTTAAAACTTCTAATCTCTGTGTGTATGAGGGTGCAAGAGGGGAGCCAGACAAGATTTTTCTAGATTCCATCCCTTTTCTACAATGAGCCAATTGGAATATCCAACTTGTGAGTAGAGTTCTAAGCTGTTCAGCATGGTAGCCTCTTCTTGGTTCCCCAATTCTACCACCTCCTGGGTATTAGTACGTAAAATCCAAATTAAGCCTTAGAGCAAGTATGTTGCTCAAGACTGGGAACAGATGTGATTGTAAAGGTAACCTGCTTAAGTCATTACTATGTCATAAATGTAAAACATTTTCTTCAACTTCCTTATTTTCCAAGGTATTTGTCCAGGGGCCATTTTGACTTTCTAGGCTGATACTGATTCAGCACTGATGAACAGCAACAAGAGTGGCTATATTCTCAAGGGCTTTCCAGCTTCACCCAAATTACAACTATCAACTTCCGTTTGAGCTGTCACTTTCTTATCTAACAGAAAAGACCTATGGTATTTGATGGAGAAATGTTTTTTCAAGCTTTCTTTCATCGATTGCAAATTTTTCAGGGTAGAAATTTTGACCTTTATTTTTTTTTTCCCCAGTGTGCCTAGCAGGATGCTGGAAAAATGGCAGACAGTCACTAATTTTGTGAGAGTCAATCTTATAAGATGTACCTTTGGAAAATGCTGATTTTGTTTTCCTTGAACATAGTTTTGAATTTCTATCTCTCTATGTCTATGTCTACTGTATTCATTTCTTTTTGTTTTCTCACCCTGCTTCCCTTTCCTTTTAAAATTTCTTATGAGTCACAACCCTCCTTTACTTTCTCCCTCTTAATTTAAATCTGAGCAGCACTTCTCTGAATAAAGGCAACCCTCTTCCTTTGAGTCGGCCTTAGTCCCTGGTGGCCCAGGCGTCCACCCTCTACTTTGCCCCTTCCGTTGTGGATGCTATGGAGATGGTCTCCCTGCAGTACCAGAGATTGCCCTTGTGGGTTTCAGCCTCCTAATCTTGGCATCTCTCTGTTGTCGCTCTCAGCAACCATCTCTTCTCTGCTACATCCACCCCTTTTCACTATCAGTGAGAATGACAAAATCCCCAGGTCTTTCTTCCCTGCTGTTGGCAATCAAATTAGGAGCCACAGTTTCCCTAGTTACTCTGAGAAAGAGTAAGTGCTAACAGCTGTGTGTGGGCCAGACACCAACTAATAATCCGTAGATTCCTTCGAGAATGCCCTCTTCTCCTTAGATTGGCCACCACTTTCAATCCAAAGAGATAAGGACTGATATGTATTTACTTCCCTCCTGCCACTCACAGAGAAAAAAAAAGTCCAGTGTTCTTTTATATTATTATTGTAAGAGTTGATTTGCTAAATGGTAAGTAGAGAGGTGGAGGATGAAAGTCCAGAGCACTCTTGGTATTTATAGCCATGTCACGGCTTTATTTATTACTATTCCCTCTTCTCAGATCCGTTTAAACAACCTGTAAATTGTCAGTGGTGTCCATGGAAACAAATTGGCAAAATGGACAGTGCACTTCAAAACGAGAGAGAATGCAAAGGACCAAAAGGAACTTGTGAAAAAATAAAACCAGGTTCCCTTCTAAAATCACAGAGATGTCACTGTCATTACACTTATGATTTCAAAAGATAGAAATCAGGACCAATTTTCCCTCCAGTGCGTACATCACTCCTCTGGGGAAGCTGGCTATGGCTGGCCAAGCAGGGCAGGACTGGCAGGCAAACCCACCGGAATCCGGAATTTTTGTCCTGGGTGTCTCTTATTTCCGTCTTTTCTGTCCCTGTCTCCTCTTTGTCTCTTACTCCCTCTCTGGCACCCAATGTTCAAATTTTCCCAAGAGAGGTTTCTTGATAACCAGTTTTGGGGGTTAGGCAGAGACTAAATGACAGAAGATTGGTCATGGATGCTGAGAAAAGATTCCGTAACAAAAAGGGAATTCAACTTTTTTAGCTTCAAGTTTTATTCTGACAATCTTTGATTTGTTAGCAGTTGCACTAAAGTGTTAAGGATTTAATGCACTGCCCCTGATATTTCTGCTATTTAAAAAATCTTTAGGGGCAAGCACGTATAAAAATTATTAAAATAACACTATGTCCTGCGCGCTTTATGTCCAAACCTAGCTAAGCCCAAAGGAGACATCAAGAAGACAGCCTTGCTATAAAAACCTGTTGGGTAGTGGGGGAGGGAAACCTACTCATTTGTTTCTTCTGTATGTCTCTATTGAGCTCCTTTACGTCATTTAAGAGCAAGTTGGTGGGTGGTAGAAGAGTGGCAGGATGCAAAGAATAAATAAAAATAAATAAGAGATATTTTTATTATCATAGTGGAAAAACATATAATTATCATAATAATAGCTAAGATTTAGCGAGCATATTTTCAGTTGCCGGACACCACTCTAAGTGCTTTGAATTGTAAACTAATTTAATACCCACAACAACCTGTGCCTCTTCTCAGATCCACTTAAACAAGCTATAAATTTTCAATGGTTTCCATGGGAACAAATTGGCAAAATGGACAGTGCACTTAAAAGAACTAAAGGGAGAGAATGCAGAAGACAAAAAAGACCTTGTCAAAAATAAAATTGGTTTCATTTCTAGAATCACACATAATTCATAGGCAACGCGGTTATGTTTTCAAAGATAGGAACAAGGACCAATTTTCCCTCCAGCACATATATTCATCTCTTCTCTAGGAAAGCTGAGCAAGGCTGGTCAAGGAAGCAGGACAGACCTCCAAGCAAACCCTCAGGGTCTGGAATTTTCCTCTTGGGTGTCCCTTGTTTCTATATCATCTGTGCCTTCTTTCTCTTTTCATATCTCTCTCACTTCCACTGCGGTGGGTTGGTTTGATTATCCACATTTTAGAAAGGAAAAAACTGGGACACAGAGAGATTGAGGAACTTTCCTAATATGACACAGCTAGTAAATGGCACAGCTACAGTTTGAACCTAGGCAGCCTGGCACCAGCATCCACATGCTTAACCATGGTATGGTACTCCCTCAAAAGTCACAAATCCCCATGCTATAAAGGTGCTCTGAAAGTGCCATAGGAGCCCAGGGACAAAAGTGATTTTTTTCTGCCTGTAGAGTTAGAAACCAAACTGGAGAATAATTGGCCTTTAAGCTGAGTTTTGAGATATGTAGACAAAGAGATATGCACAAGGCAGGAAAAAGCATTTTACAGAAAACCAACAGCACATGCATAATAACGTAGCGTGACATGTTAAACAAATGACAGATGCTTTGATGTGAGTGAAGGTTCAGATGTGCGTGTTTGGAGGAAGCGATGCTCTGATAAGTTTAGCAGTGGTAAATTTGTGAAAGAACGTTTACTTATCCCTCTTATGTCTGGTTAGATTAGATGCATCCTTTGAGTTCTTTGAGAAAGCCTCCCCCATCCCGTTTCCAAGGCTGAGTTCTGTAATCCTAGAGTAATTCTGAGCATTCCTGTATTTTAACAGCATACTATGTTACAATTGTTAGTTTACTAACCTGTCTTACTACTGCTCTGTGCTGTCCTTAAAGGCAGAAAATGAATTTTTATGCTGTATACCTCTAGTTCTTTGACCCATGACTACCACATAATAAATGCTATCACCTATATTCTATTCTCTCTACTACTCAAGGATTTCATCCTTCATCCTTAGAAGTATTCCATCCTTCTTCTGCATCATAATTTTCCTTTCATTGGATTATTCTCATCAACTGGAAATGTGTCCTTGTTTCAAAAATTGACCCTATGTCCCACTCTAGCTATCATACAACGCTATTTATCTTTTCAGTTTCACAGCAATATGTCTTTAAAAGGTTTTCAATCCTTGATTTCTTGACTTCCTCATTTCCATTGTCTTTTTGACCCAGTTCGAGGAGGCTACTATTCCTACCTACCTCTCCACAGAAACTGCTCTTATTGTAATACAATTACTAACAATCTTCATCTTGCCAGAATCAAAAGCCACTTATCTATCTTCATCTTGCTCATCTAATACCTCCTTCTTGAAACACTCTTTTATCTTTGCTTTTATGATACCATATTCACCCAAATGCCCTAAGGTTTGGTCTTGATCCCATTGTCTTCTCTCTCTACACCCCAGAATACATTATTGATTTCTCCCTTCAAAATTGTCCCTTCCTTGTTCTCCATCTCAGTCAATGGCCTCATCATCTGCATAGTTACTCCATCCAAAAACCAAGATACTGTTCTTTATACAGTTTTTTGGAGGTGAAAGTTTCAGTCTGCACATACATTCCACTGACAAGTCTCATTGACTCTATCTCCAAACTTTCTGGAATCTATCCACTTCTCTCTATTGTTCCTGCTACCTCTCTGGTACATACTGTCACCATCTATCTCAGAATATGGTGAGTTCCTCCTATCTCTCCATTTTTGTTCTTATCTCTTCAAGTGCATTTTCCACATACCAACCAGAGTAATCATATTTTTCTTGTTTTTTAAACCTTTCTTTTGTCCGGAAATAAAACACATATACAGAAAGTACATAAAACATAAATGTTTAGCTTAATAAATTAATATAAAGCAAACATCTATAGAACCACCCCCCATTTCAAAAGTTAGACTCTTCCCAACATATAAAATTTAAACATGCTCCTCCTCAATCCCAACCATCTCCCTCTCTCCTACAGGTAACCACTATCTTGACATGGGCAGTAATAAATTGCTAGCTTTTATTTATACTTTTAGCACTTAATTATGCCTCTGTCAACTGAAATAAAATTATACAGTGAAATAAAATACAGCATACATTCTTTTAGATCTTGCTTCTTTCATTCAATATTACATTTATAACAATCATGAATATTATCTGTAATTATAGATAATTTATTTCCATTGCTTTGTAATATTCTATTATATTCCATTGTATATGTCACAATTTATCCATTGCATTGTTGATGGAACTTTGAGTGTTTTCAGATTGGGATCATTGCAAATAATAACTGTTTTGAATATTCCTGCATGTGTCTTTCAGTAGACTTACACAAATATTTTTCTTGGATACACATTTAGCAGTGGAATGTTGGGATATACATTATGTGTATCTTCAACCTTAATGAATATGTTTTCCAAACTTCTTTCCAAAGCTATTTTTCCACATTGCAAACATAGCACAATGAACACCTGTCTCTTCACCTAGACTCACCAATTAAAAACATTTTGCCATATTTGCAGTGTCTCTCACGGTAACAATGCATTTTCTTATAATTATTACTATATATTTTTACTTATTGTCCTGTCATCATTTTGATGAACCATTTTAGATTCAGTTGCAGACATCATAATCCTTCAACTGTAAATATATGAGCATACATATCAAGAGAGCAAAGACATTTTCCAACATGTCACGTTCTCTTACTTATCAAAATCAGGACATTTAACATAAATAAAATATAATTAACTAATACAGTGCTGCCCAAACTTTAATGTACATACAAACCATTTGGGGATCTTGTAAAAATATGAAAATGATCCACTGGATCTGGAATGGTGCCTGTGATTATGCTCATAATTTAAGAAGCTCACAGGTGAGGCATATCCCCAGATGGTACTATGAGTAGCAAGTATCTCATGTACATACTCAAATATTTGCAATGGTATTAATAGTATCCCTTATAGCATTTTTTTCTGATCCAGAATTAGTCCCAGTTCAAACGGTACATTTAGTTGTCATATTCACCTTTATTGTTGAAAGATATGTCACAGGGCTAAAATTTAAGTTTCCAGTTATTTTCTTCCACCATTTTAAAGATATTACTTCATTGCCTTGTTCTAATTTTCAAAAGCTGCAATGCTTTTGAGAGATCAGCTTTCAGTCAAAATACTGCTCTTTTGAAGGAAATCTTTTGCCCCCCTTCTGGATATTTTTAAGATGATGTCTTCTATGGATTTCTGTAATTTCACTGTGATTTGTCTAGGTATTTTTAAAATTTATTTTGCTATAGTTTTGTTGAATTTTTTTCAATCTATGGATTGAGGTCTTTCATCAGTTTTGGAGAATTTTTAGACATTAGCACTTTAAATATATGTGGTTGTACTATCCTCTCTTCCATTTGTCTCAAACATGTATTAGACCCTACTGCATCATCTTTCTCTTACCCACTCTCCTGAATTTTCCATTTTTTTGTCTCTTTGTACTTCTTTATAGACATTTTATTCAGTCTATATCACATTCCACTAATTTTCTCTTTATGTTTAATACACTCTTAAGCAAAATTATAAACTCAGTGAATTTGTTTATTACATTTCCATTTTAAGAATTTATATTGGATTATTTTCAAATATGCTGTATCACTTTTCAGAGTTTTGAGTTTCCAAGTTGCTTTGTGTTTTATTGTCAGTGACATGGCTAGGCTGAACTACCAGTTCCAACATTTGGAATCTAAATAATCTTTTAATATATATATATTAAATATATATTAAATAATATATATATATATATATGTACTGGGATTAAAATTTGAAGGCCAAACAATAGGTATCAAATACAAAAGTGAGGTGACAAAGGAGCCGATTTTTCAAAGAAGATTCTACAAAGCCAGTTTGACAACTGGTCCACAAGGAAGACAAAAACATGTTGCACAAAATGCAACAGAGCAATGGATTTTTGAGGAGAAAGGCTTAATTTCACAACTAGAGAAGCGATCTATAAGACTAGTCAGAAATTGAGAAACATTCTCTGCAGCTAGAAAATACAGAGGAAGGATGCTTAGTCTGAAAGACTCCAAAGATGAGAGGCCAGCTAAAGCATCTCATGGGAGAAGAGTGAAATGCTTGAGGGAGTAACTACTATTCCCCCAATGATGGTCAAAGATGCATGAATCCTGGGGGCCAGATACGGAACTATGGTAAAAATTTGAGCCTGTGATCATGTTTTAAATGATTCTGGGTCAAAAGATTTGCTTCTGGGGCAATGGCATTTCAACAGAGGTTCTAGAGTGGACTGCTGAAAAAAACAAACAAAAAAACAGAAAAAAAAAAAAAGCAGAAACCGAGGGCATTTCAAGAAGCAAGTTAAAGAAGAGGGTCGAGCCAAGGAGCATCTAGAGAACCCACAAATGCCATTAGAGAGTTGGCTTTATGCATCTTTTAGGCTTAGGAAAGCAAAGCTATCTTCTTATACCAGTCAAGTAAGAACTTCTAGTTCCACTACTTCTCTTCTTTCATCCACTACCCTGGAAAAGTCAGTAACAACATCTAGGAAGTAGGAGAAAAGGCGAGCAAGTAAGAAAGGTGAATCTGAGGCTGGGCACGGTGGCTCACGCCTGTAAATCCCACAACTTTGGGAGGCCAAGGCGGGTGGATCACCTGAGGTCAGGAGTTCGAGACCAGCCTGGCTAACATGGTGAAACCCTGTTTCTACTAAAAATACAAAAAAAAAAAAAATTAGCTGGACGTGTTGGCACACTCCTGTAATTCCAGCTACTCAGGAGGCTGAGGGGGGAGAACCACTTGAATCCAGGAGGCGGAGGTTGCAGTGAGTGGAGATCACGCCATTGCACTGTAGCTTGTGCAACAAGAGTGAAACTATCTCAAGAAAAAGAAAAGAAAAAGGTGAATCTGATTGCACTCTGCTCCTTGAAGGCAGGAAGCTTAGCTGCAGGTGAAAGGGGAGAAGCATTTCCATTAAAGTCTTCCTTAAGATACTGGGATAGACATCCTGGTTTCTGTATTGAGTTTATATTTGTGACTTAAGGAAAGCATAGGACTTTCTATTACCTATAAGTACCCAGAAAATTCACAGGGGATTGCTAAGATGTTTATTGAAAGGAGGAGAAAGAAATTTTCAGCAAATTAATTTTAAAGGGTCAATGAGGAGTAAAAAACACAGCTGAGTTTTGCATGATATTCTACTTTTCTGAGTCAGAAAAAAAAAAATCACAGCAGAGTTTTAGTAAGGTGGTTCCAGAAAGAGAATGGAGAAGAAGCTGGAATGAGGAAAGCCAGGAGAGACCCTATTAAAAGAAGTCCACGTGAGATAGTGAAAAAATGGTAATATTTCAAGGTATGGGGTACCTGGAGGGAAGACGTGTTTATATCACTCCCATAACAACTGTGGGGATGTGAAAAGAGAAAAAATAATTAGTCAAAAGTCCTTTATGTTTATTTCACCTCTGTAGTTTACTCTCAGTGTTGCTTTCAATTAATTGTTAACCTTGTTAACTGTTAACTCACTTTCCTCATCTCTAAAATGGGAAAAATAATATTTGATAAATTAATGTGATAAAATATGTAATGATGTATGAACTCACCATAAGTTAAATGAATGATAATTAGGTTACCTAAAAGAATGAATGAATGAATGAATGAAATACCCAGCTCCAGAGTAAAAGCAATAAGCTCTGCATATCTAAAATACCATCCAAATGCTTCTTCAGAGCTGAACTTCCCAGGTAAACATTTCAGTGTGTGTGTGTATGTGTGTGTGTGTGTGTGTGTGTGTTTTCTCCTGATAATCAAAGTCATGTTTAAATATTCAGTAGATGGCTTTAGTGCCTTAAGTACTTGTCTGGAGATTACACCTAGACTGGCACAAACCTGTTGGGGTAAGTGATCCTACTTGCTATTCAGTTTAGTGTTTACCAGCAAGTGTTCAGTCAGAGCCCTGTGCTAAAGGCTGCTGGCAAATCTTCCCATGATGGCTGAGTTGAAATGAATACCGAGGCAGTGTCAGCTTCTGGCTTTCATTAGATTCTCTCTGACCGAGGCGAATATTAAAACAAGGCCACCTGACAGAGTCATCTTGGATTCCTGTAGGAAGGGACTGAAGGTGCTGGAAGCAAAATGAGGGATGGGTGGGAAAGCATAATAAGTTCTGCAATTTACAAGTGTTAATATGAAAAATCAGAATGTGAACCTCACTGGAAAGAATCTATAGGCTATTTATCTACTCAAAGTGACCTTGTAATCTATCAGTCATTAAAATGATAGCAAAGAACATGAATGCCACCCTGTGGCTACCAGTAGAAATTATATTTAATATAACAATTTTACACAATTAGAGGATAATGGGAATGTGATTAAAAGAAATCATACAGATGCCAGGAGAAAGAGGGACAGCCAGATAAACAGTTATCACTGTTAATATATGACTCAGGGAGGCATTACCTAAAATACTAAGGAAAAAAACTCACTAAAGTCTCCTCCAAAAAAAGTAAGCAAAAAGAAAAACAATCCAATTATAGACACATAAAGCTTTAGACAGAGGCACAGATGGATTTCTGGTAATAACACCAGATTTAAGAACAGAGAAGGAAAGGTATGTTTTATGGTATTCTTCTCCGTAAGCAAACTGGGATTATGTGAGACCCACACATATGCACAAAGATGTTTATTCCTATATGTCCAAGTACACAAATGTGCATATTCCAATTTATATGCACATTAATATGCCCATTTAATCTTTGCGTGGGATTTTTCTGCATCTGACTACTGCAAAGCAATTGTTGATTTCATTCATTTAATCAACAAATTTTCCTGGAATACCAACTTCGAGCCATGTTACTATCCTGAGTTCTGGGACTACAAAAAAAGTTCATACCCTCATTGAGGTTATATTCACAGGCTTGAAAATAAAAAAATATATATATGCATATATGTCAGGTAGTGAACATATATGGAAAAAGTACAACAATATAACTGGAATCGTGAATGTTGAGGGGTGAAGGAGAAAGGAGAGCATCTTTAATAAGATATTTGAAAACCTAAAGGGCATTGTGAGGGAGCAAGCTGTGCATATAAGGAGAAAGGAAACTTCCAGACAAACAAGAGTGCCGTGCAAAGACTTGGTGTGTTTGAGGAACAGTGAGCAGCACCTCCCCGCCACCCACCACACAGGGCACAGAGCAAGTGAATAGAAGAATGTTTGGGGATGAGGAAGGAGAGGCAAAGCAATGGCAGTGGCCGAGGAGCTGGGCACAGAGAGCCTTGTAGACAATTTTGATGACTTTGGCCTTTACTCGCAATTAGAGCTCTCTGACGTGCTCTGGTTTAAAAGAATCAGTCTGACTTCAGTGTGGAAAAAGGACTACAGGGACAAAAGGAAGGAAGTGCTTTTAATAGTCCAGCAAATGATGGCAATGACTTTGTTCAAGGTAGTAGCAATGAATGTGGTAAAAGTGATTGGATTTTAGACAGACAATAAAGGTAGAATCAAACCATTTATATTTAGATTCAATATAGTGCCCCAAAAAGGAGAAGAGTCAAGAGCTCTGGTCTGAGTAATCAGAAGAATGTAGTTGTCATTCACAGATTTGAGAAAGACTGTGAGAGAAGGATGTTTAGTTGAGGATATGTGGGAGTTTGAACATCCTAAGCTATGAGCATTTGTTAGTTACCCAAATAGAGGTCTTTGGTTAAAGAGTAGCGTTACTAGATTTATCAAATGAAATAAAGGATGCCCAGTTAAATCTGAATGTCAGATAAACAATGAATAATCTTTTAGCATAAGTAAATACAATGTTTGTGACATGCATTAAAAATAATGTTCATCTGAAATTCAAATTTAACTGAGCATCTTATATTTCACCTGACAACACTAGTCAAAGAGCATTTGGGTTAAAAGTCTGAAGTTCAGGGGAGATTTCTGGATGGAGATAAAAATTTAGGAGGCATCGTAATGTGATGTATTTTAAAACTGAGACTGAGATTACCTAGGGATGAATATGGACAGAAAAGAGATGAGACCTGTGGATATACTTCAGAAATCCATAAATAAATCACTCGGTACAGTTGTCAGACTTCAAACCATCCAAGACTTTATTAGTCTTTGAACAGGAATTACAGAGTTATCTGCTCTTGGACCTTTCAGAAGCAGGGAGAGGCCAGTTCTAAATCTGCTTTTCTCTGTAATAATGCTTCTTCCCACATGTTATCCCTTCTATCACACCATGAGCTTTTGTAAAAGACAGGGACAAATAGGCAGACTTCTCAATATCAAGATCTGAAGGGAAGAAATCTCATACCCTCTATCCTGGGTCACCATAGTAACATAAGTTCTAACATTATTAATCTACTTCCAAATTCCATTTCCAAGGTGAGCAAAATCAATGTGGGAGAAGAAATGTTAGGCCAGTAAAGGCCAGTGAAATATTTAAGTTTTAATGCCATGCCAGTGTTTCCAACTTTAAGAGAAAGAGTATGGAGGTTTGTGTTGATCTCTGTTTTATTTCACTCAGAAATGGTTTAGATTTCTAAAGGGAAGAATAGAGAATCACCTGGAGAGTAACAGGCAGTTAATCTGGAATAAATGAAGAAGACTATCTGATACAGTGGCTGTAGGGATGTGGAGATTTTTTTCTATACGTAGACTGTAAGAGTACTTGGCTGTTTCACCAGTCTTGCCTCTCTACCTGCATTAACTCTCATCCTTCTTTCTTAACTCATTGAACTGTCCAGCCAGATTTTTCCTTCTGGCCTTTTATAAGCTCTTCAGAGTGGTATGACTGACAGGTCACAGAGGGTCATTTTGAAGATTCTACCTTTGGTGTCAGATCGATCATGATATGAGTCTTGGTTCTGCCCTTCTGAAATGCATGTAATTAACCTCTCTAAATTTAGATTTTTTTTTTCTTCTGCAAAATGGGGGTACTAATGATATCTCTCATGCAAGAATTTTGTAAGAATGAACTGAGATATACAAGTTAATCTTGGCCTAGAGAATCTGTCTTATAAAAAGTGCTCAATATGTGTTTGATATCACTTTTGCAGTCATTAATGCTATACAGCGAATGCCTATGAGCAAAAAACACTCCAACAGTATTCAACGCATAATCAACTGGGAGAAAAATAAAACAAAAAAAATAGATCACCCATATTTTCCATTTATTTCCTCATATTTTCCCCCAAGATCTTTGCTTTGTAATGCACAGTAAATTCACCTTTCGTGAAATGACCGTGGGTAACCACTGCTGCCTTTACAGCGGTTACAGCTGCCATTCAGGACCCCTACCACAGTTTCAGAGGCACTCCACTATCCTAGGCATTGTTTCACAGACATATCTAGAAATATGTACCCCACTGGGCATTCTAATATTATACTCTAACATCAGTTTTGAGAACAAAATTGTAGAAAAAATATAATTAATAAAAAAAGCATATAATATGTAAACTTTAAATCTGAAGATTACAAATCACAGTTAAATCACTAAACTTTGTTTTCATCATGAGACTATAAGTAATACTTGGAGTAAGTGGTAAAATGGGATCTGGGGAGAGAGACCCTGTAATTTTCAGAGCTTGGGCTTCCCTACTGTCAGTGGGTATCTTCTCAACAGTCAGAACTCCATTTCTACAGGAAGTGATTCCCTAGAGAAAAGGCTCTGGAATCCTCTTGGTATCCCTTCTCTCTTTCCTGTCTGGCCCAGGTCACAACCTCCTCCTTTCCCATCCTTCTCTCTTCCAAGGAATGGTCTGCATTACTTTCTCTTTCCCCAAGCACTGAAATGCCACAAAAATGTTCACTTGCAAAATGGGGATACAGTATTTACTCATGTCTGTATCATCTGTATCAAGCTCCTAAGCTGTATCATCTGGTGAGTCAGCATTTTAGGTTGCAGAAAAGAAATGAAAACTTTATTACTCTATAATATCTATTAACAGGAAAACATAATGCTATTATTTTTCTTTGGGGAAGCAGAATGCGTATCATTTTGTTTATATATTAAAAGGTAAATATGGGCTCAATTTGGTGGCTCACACCTGTAATAACACTTTGGGAAGCTGAGGTGAGAGGATCACTTGAGCCTAGGAGTTCAAGACTGCAGTGAGTTGTGTCCACGCCACTGCATTGCAGCCTGGGTGAGAGAGAGAGAAAGAGCGGAAAGAGAGAGACAGAAAGAAAGAGAGAGAGAAGGGAAAAGAGAAGGGAGGGAGGGAGGGGAAGAGGAAGGGGAAGGGGAAAGGGGAATAAAAGGAGGGAGGAAGACATGTATGAAGAAAAATAAAAATTTGAGATGCTAGGCTGAACTATATGAAATTTCTGGCGTTTAACCATTTTTGCCCTATAAGCACAGCAATAGCATACGGTTCAACCGGGTAGAAACATGTTATTTGTCTAAGTGAATATTGCCTCTGGAGGAGAAAAAAGTTCGAAGTGCTGGAACACTGAACTAGTATTTGCCATCAAAAAAGGTTCTATAAGCAAGCAGTGTCAATGAAAGAAACCCTAGAGTTTTTTAAAGACCTTTTTAATATTCAAGATTAAGAGACCTGAGCAAATGCCATATCCCCATTTTGCAGGGGAAGTTTAAAGGGCCACTAAAAAATAAATGGACCCACCATAATGCAAAGCAATGGCCAAAGTGTTCCCCATCATTTACTGTCCAATTCTTGGCACCAAAGTTGATTTTTTAGAATGCACCCCTAGAGAATGAGAACATAGGAGGTAAACCATTGCAGAGATATAAAAGTTGTGAAAGAAAATGAATGATACCTAAGGGTGTAGAGAAGAGTAGAAGGGGTGTTGACTCACCAGACCTACAAACAGAAGTCAATAATGGCTATTACTGACTAAAAGAAATTTCTCTCCAAGTTTAGAAATCATCCAATTCAACTTAGTTCTTCTCTCACCAGATTCAAAACATGTGTTCCTACAGCACTAGCCCTATATGGTTGCCCCTTCTTCTCTCTTCATAAACCGTTCTCAGTGAGTAGATCTCTGCCTTATTAGAGGGGTTTTGGTTTTTTATTTTTTGTTTTCAATCCCAAAGACTGCTGTGAGGAAAGAAGAAAAGAAAATCAATGAGTCACCATGAAAGGAAGAACAAGAGGCTCAGTTCAAAGGGACACTGTGAAGAGCCCTACTCTTTCCCTCTCATGGGAATGACCAAGATACCCTATGTGGGCCCAGTCAATCTATTACTTAAATTCATTCAGAACCTGGAACTTAAGGCAATGTATTCCTATTTGATGTTTCCGTTTTTAAAACATATTCTCAACCATATTATACTAGCCCCATGAAATAGGTAGGAAAGGTGATGTTATCCTCATGAACAGAAAAGAAAGGTGCTTTATCTGTATATTGCTGATAAGGAAGCTGAAGCCCATGTATCTTCTCAAGATGTCACAAGGATTGCAAGAACCATAACTACAATCTGGGCCTTCTGACTGCTCAGTTTAAGAAATAATGTGCTTTGGATCTAGAGAGATCTGAGTGTCGACTGTGTAACTGATTGCTTCTGTAATCACCTACGCCTCAGTTTTGTTAGCGTAAAATTTGGTAATAGATTCTATTTCAGGTGGCAACAAACTGTGCTCAAATAGTTTTGGTCCTCTTTCCATTTGAGCCTTTCTTCCCACTCCTGGGCCTGCCTCTCAAAGGGAAAGAATGACAGTGTGGGAAAAGTAAAGTAAAATGAGTAGATATTCAAAATGGTTCACCATGAAAAGCAGTGAAGAAAAAGGGTTTTCTGGGTCAGAGTTTCAAACTATAAGGATATCTTTTGAAGTTTTGGTACCTCCTAGACAACGTTATCCAAATAGCTTATTTCCACTGTGGTTTCAGTCTGAAGCTGACATCTTTAAGTTTGTTCATTTTCTCTTTTAAATGTGAATAATATGCTTTAACCTGGGGATTAAATATGCTATAAAACCTAATTTAAAATAAAGATTACAGTGTACTTCCCCTTATCCAAAGGAAACAAAATATAAAAGAAACTGCCCTAAAGGTTAATAGGAAAAGAAATTGTTATCTTGATTCTTTTACCGATTTAAAACATTTCAATTCAAACCTAAATTGGATATTGGATTAACTTTAATGATAGATGATAATTTATTGAAAAACACAATGTGGTCATCTCTGAATTATCCTTATTTACAAAGTGAACTAAAGAAACAAAAACTCTAAAACAGTAGATGCCTCGAAGTATTTTCTTGTCATAAATGTCAGAATATGGGTAAATGTAGTATGATTTGAGGAAACACAAACTATTTCTTCATGAACATACACATTTTTCAGGATGGTAAACAGAGTAGAGTATCAATTTAGTACAAATTTTTTCATCAGTTTACCTGGTTGTCACCTCCACTCTAAACAAGACATTGAAAGAATGGGACAGGGGAATAATAGGTTTTAATGCAGCAACGCTGATTTCATAAAAATGCTCATTTCTTAGTGTTTTTGGACAGCATGAAAGTATGAGGTGAGGGAAAAGAGTCTACCAATAGCAAGCTTTCTCTATAATGTTTTGCCTGAATATAACATTGTATTAAAATGTGTAGGCTATTATTAAATGCTATTTCTCTAACATTTATAAGCTATTTATTCATTTTTTCATTCAATAAATATTTTGAGCACTGACTATTTGCCATGAACAGTAGAAGAGCTTAAGACGGAGAAAGGCTTATTTATTCACAGCTACTATTCTCAAAGAGCTTAGAAGGTAATTACATATAAACTTGTTTTAAAATAAGTTTACATAGTGGAAGTGGCATTAGAGAGTCACCAATTGGGTATTAAAAATTAATTGTAAGCATGTCAAACAATGAGACATTAGTTAAACAGGTTATGGTACATGTTGTAATGGAATGTGATAAAATCATTTTAAAAATTAGGTTCCTGAATTCTACTTAAGAGCAAAAACAAATGTTCACAGTACACTAAATGAAAAATCAGGTTTAAAACACTGCATCAGTTATACACTAACATTTGGTGACTTAAAATAACAATATATTATATCTCATAATTTTTTGGTTGGCTAAGCAGTCATTCTGTGGGATTCTCATGGGATGACTCACACAGCTGTGCTATGCAATGCAGCAACAGGGTTACTCAAGGCCTGGCTCATCTGGGACAAGTGGGATGACTGGACTTTTCTATAAATGTGGTCTTTTATTCTCAAGAAAGCTAGATCTGGAGCTGACCAAGTCTTCTGTTTGCTGGTGTCCCACTGATTTAAGTAAGTCACACGGCTCACCCCAGAGTTAGTGTGGGAAGGGACACTCTGCCAGGACTTAGCATACATGGAAGTTTGACACATTGGGAAACGTATAATCTACCACAAATTGCATGCCCTTTATATTCATATCATAACACACATACATTCTCACGCATACAGTCTGAAAGAAATACACAAAAATATTATCTTTGAGAGGGGAAAGAGGTTACAAATGTTTTATTTCTTTTTATTATACTTTAAGTTTTGGGGTACATGTGCATACCCCAGTGTGCAGGTTTGTTATGTAGGTATACATGTGTCATGTTGCTTTGCTGCACCCATAAACTCGTCATTTACATTCGGTATTTCTCCGAATGTTATCCCTCCCCCAGGCCCCCACCTGCCAACAGGCCCCAGTGTGTGATGTTCCCCTCCCTGTGTCCATGTGTTCTCATTGTTCAACTCCCACTTATGAGTGAGAACATGCAGTGTTTGGTTTTCTCTTCTTGTGTTACTCTGCTGAGAATGATGGTTTCCAGCTTCATCCACGTCCCTGCAAAAGACATGAACTCATCCTTTTTATGGCTGCATAGTATTCCATGGTGTATATATGCCACGTTTTCTTTATCCAATCTATCACTGATGGGCATTTGGGTTGATTCCAAGTCTTTGCTATTGTGCACAGTGCTGCAATAAACATACATGTGCATGTGTCTTTATAGTAGAATGATTTATAATCCTTTGGGTTTATACCCAGTAATGGGATTGCTGGGTCAAATGGTATTTCTAGTTCAAGATCCTTGAGGAATCGCCACACTGTCTTCCACAATAGTTGAACTACTTTACACTCCCACCAACTGTGTAAAAGAATTCCTATTTCTCCACATGCTCTCCAGCATCGGTTGTTTCCTGATTTTTAATGATCACCATTCTAACTGGCATGAGATAGTATCTCACTGTGGTTTTGATTTGCATTCCTCTAATGAACAGTGATGATGAGCATTTTTTCGTAAGTTCATTGGCTGCATAAATGTCTTCTTTTGAGAAGTGTCTGTTCATATCCTTCACCCATTTTTTTATGGGGTTGTTTTTTCCTTCTAATTTTGTTTAAGTTCCTTGTAGATTACGGATATTAGCCCTTTGTCAGATGGATAGATTGCAAAACTTTTTTCCCAATCTGTAGGTTGCCTGTTCACTCTGCTGATAGTTTCTTTTGCTGTGCAGAAGCTCTTTAGTTTAATTAGATCCCATGTCTATTTTGGCTTTTGTTGCCATTGTTTGGTGTTTCCGTCATGAAGTCTTTGCCCATGCCTATGTCCTGAATGGTATTGCCTAGGTTTTCTTCTAGGGTTTTTATGGTTTTAGTCTTATATTTAAGTCTTTAATCCATCTGAAGTCAATTTTTGGATAAGGTGTAAAGAAGGGATCCAGTTTCAGCTTTCTACATATGGCTAGCCAGTTTTGCCAGCACCATTTATTAAATAGGGAATCCTTTCCCCATTTTTTATTTTGTCAGGTTTGTCAAAGATCAGATGGTTGTAGATCTGTGGTGTTATTTCTGAGGCCTCTGTTCTGTTCCATCAGTCTATATATCTGTTTTGGTACCGGTACCATGCTGTTTGGTTACTGTAGCCTTGTAGTATAGTTTGAATTCAGTCAGCTAGCATGATTCCTCCAGCTTTGTTCTTTTTTGCTTAGGATTGTCTTGGCAATGCGGGCTCTTTTTTGGTTCCATATGAACTTTAAAGTAGGGTTTTCCAATTCTGTCAAGAAAGTCAGTGGTAGATTGATGGGGAAAGCACTGAATCTATAAATTACTTTGGGCAGTATGGCCATTATCCAGATATTGATTCTTCCTATCCATGAGCATGGAATATTTTTCCATTTGCTTGTGTCCTCTTTTATTTCATTGAGCAGTGGTTTGTAGTTCTCCTTGAAGAGGTCCTTCACATCCCTTATAAGTTGGATTCCTAGGTATTTTATTATCTTTGTAGCAATTGTGAATGGGAGTTCACTCATGATTTGGCTCTTTGTTTGTCTGTTATTGGTGTGTATAAATGCTTGTGATTTTTGCACACTGATTTTGTATCCTGAGACTTTGCTGAAGTTGCTTATCAGCTTAAGGAGATATTGGGCTGAGACAATGGGGTTTTCTAAATATACAATCATGCCATCTGCAAACAGAGACAATTTGACTTCCTCTTTTCCTAATTGAATACCTTTCTTTCTTTCTCTTGCCTGATTGGCCTGGACAGAACTTCCAACACTATGTTGAATAGGAGTGGTGAGAGAGGCCATCCTTGTCTTGTGCCAGTTTTCAAAGGGAATGTTTCCAGTTTTTGCCCACTCAGTATGATATTGGCTGTGTGTTTGTCATAAATAGCTCTTACTATTTTGAGATATGTTCCATCAATACCTAGTTTATTGAGAGGTTTTAGCATGAAGGGCTGTGGTTGAATTTTGTCGAAGGCCTTTTCTGTATTTATTGAGATAATTGTGTGGCTTTTTTCATTGGTTCTGTTTATGTGATGGATTATGTTTATTGATTTGCATATGTTGAACCAGCCTTGCATCCCAGGGATGAAGCCCGCTTGATCATGGTGGATAAGGTTTTTGATGTGCTGCTGGATTTGTTTTGCCATTATTTTACTGAGGATTTTCTCATCAATGTTCATCAGGAATATTGGCCTAAAATTTTCTTTTTTGTGTGTCTCTGCCAGGTTTTGGTATCAGGATGATGCTGGCCTCATAAAATGAGTTAGGGAGGATTCCTCTTTTTCTATTGTTTGGAATAGTTTCAGAAGGAATGGTACCAGCTCCTCTTTGTACCTCTGGTAGAATTCTGCTGTGAATCTGTCTGGTCCTGAACTTTTTTTAGTCAGTAGGCTATTAATTATTGCCTTGATTTCAGAACCTGCTATTGGTCTATTCAGAGATTCCACTTCTTCCTGGTTTAGTCTTGGGAGGGTGTATGTGTCCAGGAATTTATCCATTTCTTCTAGATTTTCTAGTTGATTTGTGTAGAGGTGTTTACAGTATTCTCTGATGGTAGTTTGTATTTCTGTGGGATGGGTGGTGGTATCTCCTTTACCATTTTTTATTGCGTCTATTTGACTTTTCTCTCTTTTCTCATTTATTAGTCTTGCTAGCAGTCTATTTTGTTGATCTTTCAAAAAACCAGCTCCTGGACTCATTGATGTTTTGAAGGGATTTTTGTGTCTCTATCTCCTTCAGTTCTGCTGTGATCTTAGTTATTTCGTATCTTCTGCTAGCTTTTGAATTTGTTTGCTCTTGTTTCTCTATTTCTTCTAAATGTGACATTAGGGTGTCGATTTTAGATCTTTCCTGCTTTCTCTTGTGGGCATTTGGTGCTATAAATTTCCCTTTATGCACTGCTTTAAGTGTGGCCCAGAGATTCTTTGTGTCCCAGACACAAAGAACGTTGTGTCTTTGTTCTCAGTGGTTTCAAAGAACATCTTTATTTCTGCCTTCCTCTCGTTATTTACCCAGTAGTCATTCAGGAGCAGGTTGTTCAGTTTCCGTGTAGCTGTACGGTCTTGAGTGAGTTTCTTAATCCTGAGTTCTAATTTGATTGCACTGTGGTCTAAGAGACAGTTTTTTGTGATTTCTGTTCTTTTACAGTTGCTGAGGAGTGTTTTACTTCCAATTATTTGGTCAATTTTAGTAATAAGTGTGATGTGGTGCTGAGAAAAATGTATATTCTATTGATTTGGGGTGGAGAGTTCTGTAGACTTCTATTAGGTCTGCTTGGTCCAGAGCTGAGTTCAAGTCCTGGATATCCTTGTTATTTTCTGTCTCTTTGATCTAATATTGACAGTGTGGTGTTAAAGTCTCCCACTATTATTGTGTGGGAGTCTAAGTCTCTTTGTAGGTCTCTAACTGGGTGCTCCTGTATTGGGTTCATATATATTTAGGATAGTTAACTCTTCTCATTGCAGTGATCCCTTTACCATTATGTAATTGCCTTCTTTGTCTCTTTTGATATTTGTTGGTTTAAAGTCTGTTTTTTCAGAGATTAGGATTGCAACCCCTGCTTTTTTTTTTTTTTTTTTTCCTTCCTTTTGCTTGGTAAGTCTTCCTCCATCCCTTTATTTTGAGCCTATGTGTTTCTTTGCATGTGAGATGGGTCTTCTGAATACAGCACACTGCTAGGTCTTGACTCTTCATGCTATTTGCCAGTCTCTGTCTTTTAATTGGGGTATTTAGCCCATTTACATTTAAGGTTAATATTATTATGTGTTAATTTGATGCCATCATTATGATGCTAGCTGGTTATTTTGCCCATTAGTTTATGCAGTTTCTTCATAGCATCAATAGTCTTTACAATTTGGCATGTTTTTGTGATGGCTGGTACCAGTTTTTCCTTTCCATGTTTAGTGCTTCCTTCAGGAGCTCTTGTAAAGCAGGCCCGGTGGTGACAAAATCTCTCAGCATTTGCTTGTCTGTAAGGGATTTTATTTCTCCTTCACTTATGAAGCTAAGTATGGCTGGATGTGAAATTCTAGGTTGAAAATTCTTTTCTTTAAGAATGTTGAATATGGGCTCCCACTCTCTACTTGCTTCTAGAGTTTCTGCTGAGAGATCCACTCTTAGTCTGGTGGGCTTCCCTTTGTGGGCAATCGACCTTTCTCTCTGGCTGCCCTTAACATTTTTTCCTTCATTTCAGCCTTGGTGAATCTGATGATTATGCATGTTCAGGTTGCTCTTCTTGAGGAATATCTTTGTGGTGTTCTCTGTATTTCCTGAATGTGAATGTTGGCTTGCCTTGCTTGGTTGAGGAAGTTCTCCTGGATAATACCCTGAAGAGTGTTTTCCAACTTGGTTCCATTCTCCCCATCACTTTCAGGTACACCAGTCAAATGTAGATTTGGTCTTTTCACATAGTCCCATATTTCTTGGAGGCTTTGTTCATTTCTTTTCACTCTTTTTTCTCTCACCTTGTCTTCTCACTTTATTTCATTGAGTTGATCTTCAATCACTGATATCCTTTCTTCTGCATGATTGATTTGGCTATTGAAGCTTGTGTATGCTTCATGAAGTTCTCATGCTCTGTTTTTCAACTCCATCAGGTCATTTATGTTCTTCTCTGCACTGGTTGTTCTAGTTAGCAATTCGTCTAACCTTTTTTCTTCATTTTTAAAATCTGAATTTAAAAATCTACAATGAGCATATATAGGATGCATTGTTTCTATTAAACATTTAAAGTTAGTTCAGAAAAAGTTGTCTGTTAACATATCCTGTCCAAAATGTAGAATGGTCCAATTGTTAAAATGTCTAAACAATGCACGTTTGATAGCAAAAGTACCATATGGAGACATTGGTCACGCCCTCATTCATTAGAAAGGAAATTTGCAACACTGCCATTACTATTTTGTCACAACTTTGCTAAATTGCACCCATCCAGTTAATTTTGAAGGACTGAAAATTAGATATGACTCATGTGATATTCATCAAAAATTACAGTAATATTAACATACTTTTAGGCAGTAATTTATATACACACACTTGTAGCCAAATCAAGTTATCCTCATGGGGATGACCTCATTTTTCAATAATATTCCATCTTCAAAGTTTTGCTGATGCAGTTTTTGTCTTCTTGATTGTCCTCACCCCTTTTGTGGTCAATCATTTCCTCAAGGCCCACTTTGTTCTAAAGGCTTGTTTAGCCAACACTAATATCTCCTCTTTGTACAGTCTGTTTGATCATTTGGTTATGTTGTGGCTTATCTTATGTATGTGCAGGCCCTCAATAAAACAGTGATTAATTGAATATTTGAAATCTCTCAAAAGCTCTGAGCTTCATGTTTAGCACTTGAGCAGAAAACTTTGATTATTTAAATTTCTTCAAATTTTAATAAATCAAGCATTTGGATTTTCAGAGAAAAAGAGCAATCCCAGTGATATGATTTGGCTGTGTCCCCACCCAAATATCATCTTGAATTGTAGCTCCCATAATCCACATGTGTCATGGGAGGGATCCAGTGGGAGGTAACTGAATCATGGGGGTGGGTTTTTCCCGTGGTGTTTTCTGATAGTGTATAAGTATCATGAGACCTGATGGTTTTATAAAGGGCAGTTTCCGTACACATGCTGTCTTGTCTGCTGCCATGTAAGAAGTGCTTTTGCTCTTCCTTCATCTTCCACCATGATTGTGAGGCACCCCCAGCTGTGAGACCAATAAACCTCTTTCCTTTATAAATTACCCAGTCTTGGGTATGTCTTTATTAGCATCATGAGTAGGGACTAATACACCCAGCTTCCATCCTTTCCCTTGCAGCAGGAGAGAAAGTGGTATATACTTCCTGATTATGAGCACTTCTCATTTCTTCTGAGCTGTGACATCACTTTTGGCAAGGGACTCTCCTTCCAAGTGGAATGTACTGGTATTTGAGCAGGCATATCCTCATTTTGGAGTCCTGTGAGGGGCATGTGGCAGGAAGAAGTTTTAGTAAATGAGGAAATATCTCTGCACTAGCAGCTTTTGCTTGTTGTGTACAAATTCATTTTGAAGACCCCTTATTCTCCTCTACCTCCTTCCTGAGTATCCTGCTTATCACCCGGAGATGAGAAAAGATGGTTTTGGCAGAGAGAAGACTTTCAAGTTAATATTTCCTGGAGCCAGAGCGGAGACAGACAACTACTGTTGCATTATGGAGGTATAAGTAAATGGGGTTATTTCAAAAGCAATAAAAGTTTCCTTTATTGGTTTCTCTTTTTCACACCAGTTGTTTAAATCTGAATATTTCCTAGCTTTTTGCAGATGATGAAATAGGTGGAAAGAAATGTTTAGCTAATAAAGTGCATGCTATTAGGCAAGCTGCATCATCACTTTCTTCTACCAGGATTTAAGTCTTTTCTTTTTTTAAAAATCCCTGCCACTATTCCAGGGTTCATAAGATGCCACTCCTTCAGGGGTCAGTGCCTGTTTGATTCCTGATCATGCCACAGGAATGTGATTGTAATCTCATCATCATGGTGGCCATTCTCAACAGTCCCTCTTTTCCTGGACATTATCCTCTTTCCCTGGGATTTGTATAGATAAAAGACTGCTTGGGCCGGGCGTGGTGGCTCATGCCTGTAATCCCAGCACTTTGGGGGGTCAGGGCGGGCGGATCATGAGGTCAGGAGATAGAGACCATCCTGGTTAACACAGTGAACCCTGTCTCTACTAAAAAATACAAAAAATTAGCCGGGTGTGGTGGTGGGCACCTGTAGTCCCAGCTACTTGGGAGGCTGAGGCAGGAGAATGGCATGAACCTGGGAGGCAGAGCTTGCAGTGAGCGGAGATAGTGTCACTACACTCCAGGCTGGGCGACAGAGCAAGACTCCATCTCACAAAAAAGACTGCTTATCCAGGCCAAAAGGAGTTGGTCAGGTTCAAAAGTAGAGCCTGTCCCCAGTTACGTTGTGAAGTAGGCAAAGTTGTCTTCAGTGCTTCAGGCTCCAATGTTTGGAATATCACCTTTGTGATTCCCAGGCCAGCCTGTCTCCACACTTCCCTTCTCCCTTCAGCACCAAAGAGAGTATGATTTGTGCATATACTGCATAACATGCCAAGTAAAGAAGTTGGCTGCACATCTTAATTGTCAATTCCAATAGGGACAATATTAGTCTTTCGGTTACCCACATGAGTGAGGTTCAGAAAGGGTTTCTTACCCGCCTGTGTGCCAGTTGTCATCTGAGAGGAGTGCACTGTGTGAGTCATTCTCCCCTAGCTGTTTGTTTATGTGTTAATCATTCTCAAGCCCTGTAGAGAAAGGGTTAACAGCCCAGTCCCCGGAATCAGATGCCTGAGTTAAAAGAATGGCTTTAGCACTCTCTAGCTGGTTGACATTGGGCAAATTGTTTGACTTCCTAGTGCTTGAATTTTTTTCATCTATAAAGCAGGAATAATAACCAAACCTACCTCATAAGTATGTTGTGAAGATTAAATAAATTCATACATTAAAAGCACTTTGAACAGTGTTTATCACGTTGCAATCAATGAAAGTTATTATTATAATATTTGTACTCATTTCTTAAACTACTTGAGAGTGCTCCCCTTTTCTAATGTCTCTCCTATAGTACCTAACTTAGAGGGGCTTGCTTACTCCATGACCAGGGATGGTTGGACCAGGCAAAGAACTAAGAAAAGATCTATGAAAGGAAACTAAATATAACTATTAGAATTTAATTAACATATCAAAAATGTATAGAATCACAGGACTGAAAGTAAATCAGAGATGGTTTAATCTACGGTTATCAGAAGTAGAAATATCAATGAGAATAACAGGGAGTTTAAATATACATACCATCACCCCAGTACACACACACACAAACACACACCCCAGTGCAACTCTCCCAACTTCATCCCATCCAACATCTACCAAACCCCGACCAGGGATTTGATAAGATTTGTTGAGGACCACAACTATATGTATTTTGAAAAAGACTATAGGAGGATTCTGATGTATTTCTACCGACCCCTTACCCACTGGTGTCTACACATCCTGTCTAATACTAATACTCTCAGTTTACGGAGGAGAAAAAAAATGATGACAAGAGAGGATAAATGGCTCTGCCAAAGACAAGTTGCTAATGACTGTAGAGCAGTGCTTCTCTGGCTTTTATCCCTACCCTGATAGTTTAGTTTAGGTCTCCAGCCTCTGGTGACATATGCTTGCCCCCAAATAAAATAATTTCTGGAAGCCCTCAGGGGATATTCCACTAATGCTTAAAGTCAGACGGTCCTGTTAGCCACTGCATGGTTCCTCTGTTCCTCTTCTCCCTCTCTCAATCAGCTATTTGAATTACTCATTCATGCTTTATATACATCTGGGTCCATGGCACGTCCAGGTCCTATAGCTTTTGTGGTTCCCACTGCTGTTTCTGCTGAGCATGCTGCTTGTGTTAGGCATTGCTGCCCCTCCTATTGGTATTGTCATCTCCCCCTGGGCATTCTACCCGCATTGATGCCCTGGGACTTTTAAGATGCCAAAGCTATGTGCCGTGTAGTGCTTTCTTATGTTATAGAGAAAAGCAAGATAGTGTAACTTATATTGCAGCCCACCACCAAGATTTAGCAGAACAGCTCTTTCTTTCAGCTTCTTATTTATGGCTCCTGTTTTCCTCCCTCTGTCTCTTGCTGGCATTGTGTCTGAAAATGAATAGACAAACAGGACTAAAACACAATAAGGGATTCATACAACTAAGGCTTTGTTTCCACCTTAATTTGGCTTTCTGATTCTCTCTTCTGTAAAGACAGGTGCTGTAAGACTGAATTCATAAGTTAAAAAATAGCAATAATAAAAACTAATCTTTGAGCACTTATTCTGTGTAGGCATGACATTAAGCACTTCACCAACATTAATTCATTTAATATTCATAGGCACCCTTGACAAAGGTAATATTATTATTGCTGTGAATGAATGAAACTGAAATGTGTTTAGTCACTTGCCCAAGGTCTCAAAACTGGCAATGGGCGAAGCAGATGTTCTATTCAAGTGTGCTTTCCTCCAGAATCCAAGCTCCTAATTACTTTATTTTACTGCCTAGGGCTAGACTTTAGAGAGCTTGCAAAATCACTAAAATTATATTTAAAATGATGTATGCATGTGCTTTTTACCCTCTAGAGATAAATTTCAGGTGCTCAAAGGGCAAAAAGAATGTCCTAGCATTTTGTTGAGCTTTCCTGTAGGAAGCTGTACAATCTTTTATGAAAATAGACTCCTGCTATGTCTGTCCCATTGGGTCATCAAACCTCCCCAGACATGTCTGATACTTCAGTAGTGGATCAGCTCAGGCTTCTACTGTGACAAGTAGCAGAGCCAAGATGATGTATTTAGCTATGTTAAGCTGACTCAAGCTTAACACAAGATCTTGTGCCTCTCATTTTCCTACCTTCATAGATTTTTTACCTGAAACCTTTCTGGGTTACTGAAGATCCTATGGAATCAGGGGGTTGAAGAGATGGAAACATAAAGAATCCAACCCACTGTGAGAAGATTAAAAGCCCAGTTGCTGGAAACCACCTCTCTCGGGCCAGGGTAACAGCATGCCTCCCCACCTGTGTCTGCTCAGGCAGCCCCTTGGGGTAACTTAGCATGCTGCAGCTGCGCAGATTTCCATCTCTGATATAAGTTTGCCTGAGAGGTACTTGCTGATGATTGTTAACAATCAAATGAATTATAGATGATATTGGTAAACAAAATGCTGCCATGATAAATGATAAGTTGGCTCTCCTCTGACATGACTGCTAAGTCATTCAAAGTGCTGATTAAACCCATTACTGTAAAATAATCACTATCCATTACCTTTAATGTCGTGAGCTGACAACCTAGTTAAGGCAGCTGATGGTGTCAGCAAAATGATTTGTTGTACTGCATGTCCATCGTCAATAAATCACTTCGATAAATCAATGAACAGTAGCAATAAAACAATATATTTTCATATTTCCTGACATTCAATTACAGAGTGTGTATATGGACTTAAACACAACACTGAGATGGAAGATTTCAGCATTCACCAGCAGTGAACACAGGATTAATTCTATTTTGGCCCAGACTGGAGGACGCTTGTATAATTATGTTTGTGTGTATGTGTGTGTGTGTGTACATGTATGCCTTCTTCAGCTACACTACTTACCTAGCTGCTGCTGCCAAGATAACACATTACACAAGCAAAATGATGATCCTAAAGGTGTTCCTTGTCTTGAACTTAGAAAAAGGTAATAACGTAGAATACAGAGCTGTGGACCAGGAATTAAGACCTGAGAAAGTTTTTAAGCAGCTGTTTGACCTTATGCAAGTCACTTAACTTTGCTGTGATTGTTTTTTCATCTGTAAAGTAGGGATAATATCTGTTTACTGCAGACAATGAGAACAACAATCAACTGAGATAACATATATGAGAATATTTTATGAAATATAACACCTACTTCTAAATTTAGTTTTCATTTTTCTTATTCTGAAGTCACTGTTACCTCTAAAAACTCTTATATATTAAATGCTTTTTCCAGCTATAGAGGTCTTGTAAGCAATTAAGTCTTAGCTAACTCAATTTTTAATATAGTAATGTTTTATGTACTGAATCTTTCTTTATTCACCCACAAGTTATCTAGTATTTGATTTTGTGCCAAGCAATGTGCTAGGCCCAGAGAAGAAAATAGTGAAAAAAGAGTTCACCATTTCATCATGAAAATAGAAAAGAAACAGGAAAGTAAAAACTCTGCAAAAATCATCATATAGATGTTCTCTAAATATCAAAACATAATTTCTTTTAGCTACTATGATAGAATTTTTGAAAATTATATTGCACACTCTGAGTCTTCAACTCAGTTTTGTAAATATTTTCCAGAAAACTTAGATACAAAGGGCTGTGCAGGTGTGACATGTAAGTATAATTCAGGCCCTCTGAAGGGCCTGCTTTCTAACAGAGAGGAAAAGTAAGTATACCAATAAGTATAGGATGAGACAGAATTTGTGAATAGCAATAAAAAAGGTGACTATCAAGCCTCCTCATGATTAGAAGAAAGTTAAATTACATCTGATTGGCAAGCATCTAGACATGATTAACATTAGAGATGGTTCTGGAAGGGTGAGTAATATGCCAATAATTAGAATAAGGCAATGGAGGGATGGAGGAATTGATCATTCAGAGAAAGATATTCCCAATGGAGAGATACACGAAGGCAAAGGTAAGAATAAGGGAAAGCACAAAGGCAAAGTTAAGAATAAGGGAAAGCACAATGTGGTGCAGGAATTGGTGAGTTCATCCACTTTGGTTGATGTACTAGTTTAAAGAGGCTAAGTTATGTGTAGTAACAGATTCACTTCAAAATCCCAGCAGCACAACACACCAACACACCAACACACATCAAATGTTTATTTTTTGCTCACACACTAGATCAATGAGGTCTCAGATTCCACCACTTTGTAGCTGCAGGATTTAAATGTGCAACTTTCCTTGTTGCTTCAGGAAGAGAATAAAGAAGCATGGAGAACTCACACCTGTTCTTCTAGGCTCAGGCACAGAAATGACGTATGTTCTTTCTGCTAACAGCCAATTAACCAGAACTAGCCATATGGCCAGCTCAATGGCAAGAAGCTGCATAAAGTGGGAGAAAGGAGATTATTTGGTAAGCATTGTTATCTCTTTCATGGCTGGGCTATGAAACATATACAATGGAGAGTAAAAGATAAGATGGAAAATGTCAGCCACTTCCAGTAGTGACTGTCAGGATGTAGAATTTACACTAACCCTAGGAACTAGGGTGAGATTGAATGAACAAGATTAGGAGGATGATCTGATTGGGTTTGGTGATAATCTAGCTGTTAACCAGAAGGTCTGAAGATGGCTTTCTGGATAAATTGTGAGAGAATAGGGAGATTGGTGTGGTGCCTATCTCAGGAAAAGAGAGAGAGAGAAATTTAAAGCCTAAACATACCATGGTCATGACAATGGAAAACAGAGGGCATATGTGAGAAAATGATGAAAGTAAAAGTCTATTAGATTCGGCCATTTATTCAACATGGCACATGAAAAGTACAGAGTATAGAAAGGAGAAATCCAGTGGCTTTAGTCATAGTGGTGTCATTGTACAGGCAGTCCACAGAAGAAGCCACTCTGGAGACTTCATACATAGGATATAAAGTTATTATAAAAAATAAAGTATGGAGCTGGAGTACAGCAACTACAGCAGAAGCCAAAGATGTGAGTCAGATTTAGTGTGCCTTGAAATCCATTCAAAAAATGTCTAATAAATGGCCGGGTACGGTGGCTCACACCTGTAATCCCAGCACTTTGGGAGGCTGAGGTGGGCAGATCACGAGGTCAGGAGATCAAGACCATCCTGGCTAACATGGTGAGACCCCGTCTCTACTAAAAATACAAAACAAATTAGCCAGGTGTGATGATAGGTGCCTGTAGTGCCAGCTATTCGGGAGGCTGAGGCAGGAGAATGGCGTGAACCCAGGAAGCAGAGCTTGCGGTGAGCCGAGATCGCACCACTGCACTCCAGCCTGGGCGACAGAGCAAAACTCCATCCCCCGACCCCCACCAAAAAATGTCTAATAAGCCACTTTTCTATTTCTTCACCAATGTGATGACCATGCCAAACATCACTAAAAAGATACCATGTTTGCTGATGTATAAGATACATGTTACTTTTCAAAAAATTCAATGTGTCCCACCATCCATAAATAATTACTATTAATGATTAGATGGTATTCTTTTGAAGTTTCCATTTGTAACATATGAAAATCAGAGTGCCTGTGTTCTACCTTTTGTTCTAACTCGGTGTCAGAACTCTGAAAAATTATTCCCTGACTCTGTAATTCAATTTCCTCTGGTGATCTATGGTGTTTGGTAAAAAGTTGACTTTTTTATGATCTCTGTTTTATGAGTTGATTCTTTTGTGAGCCCCTGGTCATTCTCTGTAAATTTTAGTTGCCCTTACCAATGTTGCATATGCTTTATGTTTTTCTCTTTAGTCCTTATAGTGTGCTGTATATTTTCCATTTTGTTCTTATTGTCAGTCTCTTCCACTAGAATATAAAGTCCATGGCAATGAAAATACATTTTTGTTTATAAATGCTCAGTAACATTCATAAAGAGCTCTATGAATGTTAGTAATAAGAAGATCATTACCATCAAAAGGGCTTGTAATCGGACTTGGCAGCAATTTGAATACAGGAACTGCTTGTACCATGCTTCTTGAACTCAAAGTGTGTATCTCTGACCATTAAATATGTTTCAACATCATTTTTAATATCTACATAATATTCCACTATAGCTGTTCTTTAAATTTACACTGCCATTTCCTAATTCTTTCATATTTGCATTATCTTCTCACTATGCTCCATATTATAACAATATTTCTGCACATATAATTTTGTATTTTTCTCACATTATTATATTCCTAAAAGAAGAATTTGTGGGTAAAAGTATAACAACTTTTGTAATTAAATTGATTTTTTGCCAAATTATCTCTTAGAAAGGCATTATCAATTGATATTTTTCCATAAGTGAAAGTAGCTTTCAAGTGATGAGTAAGACCATGGCCTCTTAGTAGCCTGTAGGTCGAAATCTTAGCTCACCCTCATCTGGTTGAAGGCACTGGGCAAGTTCTTGAATTCTTCTTAGTATCCACATATGAAAAATAGGTAAAATATCAAATTTTATTGTTGTTCTGAAGATTAAATGTGAAAATATACATAAAATGTAAAATGGGATCTGACACATAGAACTTATTAAATAAAATTCAACCATTATTGTTTCAGTATATGAAATTATCTTTTCACCATACCTTTATTAACACAATATATTTTTCTTTTATAATCTCAAAGCCTTAATATGATTTTGTTAAATTAGCATTTATTTAATCACTAATGACAATGAATATTATCCCTTATGATTATTAATATTATCCCTTATGATTATTAGTTCATTCTTGCTACTGGGGCTGTCATTTCTCATTAACCTATAAGATTCACTTAAATATTAAGGAAATTAATTCGTTATATATCCCATACATATTAATTAATACATAATAATATTAAGAAAATTAATTCCTTATATGTATTATAAATACATTTCGAGACTATGACTTGCCTTTTCATCATATCTGTGAGTTTATTTGCCTTACCAAATATAAAATTTTTATGGTGCTCACTACGGCAGCACATATACTAAAACTGGAACAATACAGAGAAGACCAGCAAGACCCTGTGCAAGGATGACATGCAAATTCATGAAGCATTCCATATTTTTCAAGATGGCCAAATAGGAACAGCTCCCGTCTGCAGTTCCCAGCATGATTGACAGAGAAGATGAGTGATTTCTGCATTTCCCACTGAGGTACCGGGTTCATCTCATTGGGACTGGTTGGACAGTGGGTGCAGGCCACAGAGGGCGAGCCAAAGCAGGGTGGGGCATCGCCTTACCCGGGAAGCACAGGGGTTGGGGGATGTCCCTTTCCTAGCCAAAGGAAGCCGTGACAGACTATGGCAGGAAAATCGGGACACTGCCACCCAAATAATGCACTTTTCCAATGGTCTTAGCAAACGGCAGACCAGGAGATTATATCCCATGCCTGGCTCAGCAAATCCCATGCCAACAGAGCCTTGCTCACTGCTAGCGCAGCAGTCTGAGATCCAGCTGCGAGGCAGCAGCCTGGCTGGGGAAGGGGCGTCTGCCATTGCTGAGGCTTGAGTAGGAAAACACAGCAGCCTGGAAGCTCAAACTGGGTGGAGCCCACCTCATCTCAATAAGGCCTGTCTGCCTCTGTAGACTCCACCTCTGGGGGCAGGGCATAGCTGAACAAAAGGCAGCAGAAACTTCTACAGACTTAAATGTCCCTGACAGCTCTGAAGAGAGCAGTGGTTCTCCCAGCATGGTGTTTGAGCTCTGAGAATGGATAGACTGCCTCCTCAAGTGGGTCCCATGTAGCTTAACTGGGAGACATCTCCCAGTAGGGGCCAACTGACACCTAATACAGCCAGGTGCCCCTCTGAGATAAAGCTTCCAGAGGAAGGATCAGGCAGCAATATTTGCTGTTCTGCAGCCTCTGCTGGTGATACCCAGGCAAACAGCGTCTGGAGTGGACCTCCAGCAAACTCCAACAGACCTACAGCTGAGGGACCTGACTGTTAGAAGGAAAACTAACTAACAAACAGAAAGGAATAGCATCAACATCAACAAAAAGGACATCCACACCAAAACCCCACGTGTAAGTCACCAACATCAAAGACCAAAGGTAGATAAAACCACAAAGATAGGGAGAAACCAGAGCAGAAAAGCAGAAAATTCTAAAAACCAGACCGCCTCTTCTCCTCCAAAGGATCGCAGCTCATCGCCAGCAACAGAACAAAGCTGGACAGAGAATGACTTTGACGAGTTTACAGAAGTATGTTTCAGAAGGTCAGTAATAACAAACTTCTCTGAAGTAAAGGAAGATGTTCGAACCCATCGCAAACAAGCTAAAAACCTTGAGAAAAGATTAGAAGAATGGCTAACTAGAATAAACAGTGTAGAGAAGACCTTAAATGACCTGATGGAGCTGAAAACCATCGCATGAGAACTACATGAGGCATGCACAAGCTTCAATAGCCGATTTGATCAAGTGGAAGAAAGGGTATCAGTGATTGAAGATCAAATTAATGAAATAAAGCAAGAAGAGAAGTTTAGAGAAAAAAGAGTAAAAAGAAATGAACAAAGCCTCCAAGCAATATGGAAGTATGTGAAAAGACCAAATCTACATTTGATTGGTGTACCTGAAAGTGACGGGGAGAATGGAACCAAGCTGGAAAACACTCTTCACGATATTATCCAGGAGAACTTCCCCAACCTAGCAATGCAGGCCAACATTCAAATTCAGGAAATACAGAGAACACCACAAAGATACTCCTCGAGAAGACCAACCCCAAGATACATAATTGTCAGATTCACCAAGGTTGAACAGAAGAAAAAAATGTTAAAGGCAGCCAGAGAGAAAGGTCAGGCTACCCACAAATGGTAGCCCATCAGACTAACAGTGGATCTCTCAGCAGAAACTCTACAAGCCAGTAGAGAGTGGGGGCCCATATTCAACATTCTTAACGAAAAGAATTTTCAACCCAGAATTTCATATCCAGCCATACTAAGCTTCATAAGTGAAGGAGAAATAAAATCCTTTACAGACAAGCAAATGTTGAGAGATTTTGTCACCACCAAGCCTGCCTTACAAGAGCTCCTGAAGGAAGCACTAATCATGGAAAGGAACAACTGGTACCAGCCACTGCAAAAACATGCCAAATTGGAAAGACCACTGATGCTAGGAAGAAATGGCATCAACTAATGGGCAAAATAACCAGCTAACATCATAATGACAGGATCAAATTCACACATAACAATACTAACCTTAAATGTAAATGGAATAAATGCCCCAAAGAGTCAAGACCCATCAGTGTGCTGTATTCAGTAGACCCATCTCACGTGCAGAGACTCACACAGGCTCAAAAAAAAAAAAAAAAAAAAAAAAAAAAAAAAAAAAAGCAGGGGTTGTAATCCTAGTCTCTGGTAAAACAGACTTTAAAATAACAAAGATCAAAAGAGACAAAGAAGGGCATTACATCATGGTAAAGGAATCAATTCAACAAGAAGAGCTAACTATCCTAAATATATATGCACCCAATACAGGAGCACCCAGATTCAAAAAGCAAGTCCATGGAGACCTACAAAGAGGCTTAGATTCCCACACAATAATAATGGGAGACATTAACACCCTGCTGTCAATATTATATCAACGAGACAGAAGGGTAATAATGATATGCAGGACTTGAACTCAGCTCTGCACCAAGCCAACCTAATAGACATCTATAGAACTCTCCACCTCAAATCAAAAGAAGATGCATTCTTCTCAGCACCACATCACACTTATTCCAAAATTGACCACATAGTTGAAAGTAAAGCACTCCTCAGCAAATGTAAAAGAACAGAAATCACAACAAATTGTCTCTCAGACCACAGTGCAATCAAATTAGAACTAAGGACTAAGAAACTCACTCAAAACTGCAAAATTACATGGAAACTGAACAACCTGCTCCTGAATGAGTACTGGGTAAATAACGAAATGAAGGCAGAAATAAAGATGTCCTTTGAAACCAATAAGAACAAAGACACAACATAAAAATCCCTGGGACACATTTAAAGCAGTATGTAGAGGGAAATTTATAGCACTAAATGCCCACAAGAGAAAGCAGGAAAGATCTAAAATCAACACCCTAACATCACAATAAAATGAACTAGAGAAGCAAGAGCAAACAAATTCAAAAGCTACCAGAAGGCACGAAATAACTAAGATCAGAGCAGAACTAAAGGAAATAGAGACACAAAAAAACCCTTCAAAAAATCAGTGAATCCAGGAGATGGTTTTTGAAAAGATCAACAAAATTGACAGACCACTAGCAAGACTAACAAAGAGGAAAAGAGAGAAGAATCAAATAGACTCAATAAAAAAAGATAAAGGGGATATCACCACCGATCCCACAGAAATACAAACTACCATCAGAGAATATTTGTGTAGAGGTGTTTACAGCAAACTAGAAAATCTAGAAGAAATGGATAAATTCCTGGACACATATACCCCCGCCAAGACTAAACCAGGAAGAAGTTGAATCCCTGAATACACCAATAACCAGGCTCTGAAATTGAGACAATTATTAATAGCCTACCAACCAAAAAAAGTCCAGGACCAGATGGATTCACAGCCAGATTCTACCAAAGGTAGGAAGAGGAGCTGATACCAATCCTTCTGAAACTATTCCAATCAATAAAAAAAGACAGAATCCTCCCTAACTCATTTTATGCAGCCAGCATCATCCTGATACCAAAGCCTGGCAGAGAAATAACAAAAAAAGAGAATTTTAGACCAATACACCTGATGAACATCGATGCGAAAATCCTCAATAAAATACTGGCAAACCAAATCCTGCAGCACATCAAAAGGCTTATCCACCACACTCAAGTGGGCTTCATCCCTGGGATGCAAGGCTGGTTCAACATATGCAAATCAATAAACGTAATCCATCACATAAACAGAACCAAAGACAAAAACCACATGATTATCTCAATAGATGCAGAAAAGGCCTTCGACAAAATTCAACAGCCCTTCATGCTAAGAACTTCATTGGTTTCCTAGGGTTTATTGTGTGAGCACACCATATATTTACAGTAGGAATGGACGTAGACACACGAGCTTATTTCACCTCCGCTACCATAATCATCGCTATCCCCACCGGCGTCAAAGTATTTAGCTGACTCGCTACACTCCACGGAAGCAATATGAAGTGATCTGCTGCAGTGCTCTGAGCCCTGGGATTCATTTTTCTCTTCACTGTGGGTGGCCTAACCGGCATTGTATTAGCAAACTCATCACTAGACATCGTACTACACTACACAACAACACAACATAGTGTTGGAAGTTCTGGCCAGGGCAATCAGGCAAGAGAAAAAATAAAGGGTATTCAATTAGGAAAAGAGGAAGTCAAATTGTCCCTGTTTGCAGATGACATGATTGTATATTTAGAAAACCCCATTGTCTCAGCCCCAAATCTCCTTACACTGATAAGCAACTTCAGCAAAATCTCAGGATACAAAATCAATGTGCAAAAGTCACAAGCATTCCTATACACCAACAAAAGACAAACAGAGAGCCAAATCATGAGTGAACTCCCATTCACAATTGCTACCAAGAGAATAAAATACCTAGGAATCCAACTTACAAGGGATGTGAAGGACCTCTTCAAGGAGAACTACAAACCACTGCTCGACGAAATAAAAGAGGACACAAACAAATGGAAGAACATTCCATGCTCATGGAGAGGAAGAATCGATTTCGTGAAAATGGCCATACTGCCCAAGGCAATTTATAGATTCACTGCCATCTCCATCAAGCTACCAATGACTTTTGTCACAGAATTGGGAAAAACTACTTTAAAGTTCACGTGGAACCAAAAAAGAGACCGCATTGCCAAGACAATCCTAAGCCAAAGGAACAAAGCTGGAGGCATCATGCTACCTGACTTCAAAGTATACTACAAGGCTGCAGTAACCACAACAGCATGGTACTGGTACCAAAACAGAGATATAGACCAATGGAACAGAGCAGAGGTCTCTACAATAACTTCACACATCTACAACCATTTGATCTTTGACAAACCTGACAAAAACAAGCCATGCAGAAAGGATTCCCTATTTAATAAATGGTGCTGGGAAAACTGGCTAGCCATATGTAGAAAGCTGAAACTGCATTCCTTCCTTACACCTTATACAAACATTAATTCAAGATGGATTAAAGACTTACATGTTAGACCTAAAACCATAAAAACCCTAGAAGAAAACCTAGGCAATACCATTCAGGACATAGGCATGGGCAAGGACTTCATGACTAAAACACCAAAAGCAACGGTAACAAAAGCCAAAATAGACAAATGGGATCTAATTAAACTAAAGAGCTTCTGCACAGCAAAAGAAACTACCATCAGAGTGAACAGGCAACCTACAGAATGGGAGGAAATTTTTGCAATCTACCCATCTGACAAAGAACTAATATCCAGAATCTGCAAAGAACTTATACAAATTTACAAGAAAAAAATCAACCCCATCAAAAAGTGGGTGAAGGATATGAACAGACACTTCTCAAAAGAAGACATTTATGCAGCCAACAGACATGTGAAAAAATGCTCATCATCACTGGTCAGCAGAGAAATGCAAATCAAAACCACAATGAGATACCATCTCACACCAGTTAAAATGGTGATCATTAAAAAGTCAGGAAACAACAGGTACTGGAGAGGATGTGGAGAAATAGGAATGCTATTACACTGTTCTTGGTAGTGTGAACTAGTTCAACCATTGTGGAAGACAGTGTGGCGATTCCTCAAGGATCTAGAACTAGAAATACCATTTGACCCAGTGATCCCATTACTGGGTATATACCCAAAGGATTATAAATCATGCTGCTATAAAGACACATGCACATGTATGTTTATTGCAGCACTATTCACAATAGCAGACTTGGAACCAACCCAAATGTCCATCAGTGATAGACTGGATTAAGAAAATGTGGCACATATACACCATGGAATACTATGCAGCCATAAAAAAAGATGAGTTCATGTCCTTTGTAGGCAGATGGATGCAACTGGAAACCATTATTCTGAGCAAACTATCACAAGGACAGAAAACCAAACACCACATGTTCTCACTCATAGGTGGGAATTGAACAATGAGAACACTTGGACACAGGGTAGGGAACATCACACACCGGGGCCTGTCATGGGGTGGGGGGACTGGGGGGGATAGCATTAGGAGAAATACCTAATGTAAATGACGAGTTAATGGGTGCAACCAACCAACATGGCACATGTATACATATGTAACAAACCTGCACATTGTGCACATGTACCCTAGAACTTAAAGTATAATAAACAAAATAAATAAAATAAAAATTTTATGTTATCAAATCTATCACTATTTTCTCTTATGAGCTTTGTTTTGGGAGATATGCCTAGGCAGTTCTCCTTTACCAAGTATAACATTATTATTTACCTACTTCTATTGCTCTCAAGCTTCTGTTATTTATATTTAGAACTTCAGTCCATCTGGAATTTATTTTGGCTTAAGGCATGCAGTAAGAATCTAGATTTTTTTCACATGTTAATTCAATTGATGTGTTGTCTGCTCTTCTATTCTTTGTGTGTGCTTTTTTTTGTTTGTTTGTTTGTTTGTTTTTACTGCTAAGATAGAACGAAAGGTATCAAGAATAAAAGGTTAACCGGATTAAATCCTGATCATTATTTTATGTAAGAGTCTAATTCATAGATTCTGACTTTTCTTCTCTACACTTGTTAATAAGGTAAATAGGCTTTGTAACTACTATTTTCCTGAATGTATTCCTTTTTACCTCTGCCAAATTTGGTCTTCAGGTTAAGGTTGCTATTAAGAAGACCACAAGCACTGTAAGCATTACCTTTGCAAAAGCATTGATAGACTCACATAGCTATGCTGGTCTCTCTGGAGAAAATTGCAGAGAGAATTTATAAATCTATATGAGACTACCCTGTAGACACTCATTGCAGCGACTCTGCTCTGTAAAATTCTGTTTTCCTCCCTAAATGTCTCCCATTATCACAAATGTTCTGGGAGATCATAGGGATTAACATTTCCCTATAACTATTGGAAGTCAAAGTTTGATGCTCCAAAACATACTTTAATTATTGTTTTCTTCTGGACTGTGGAGTTAAATCTTTCCAAATATTCCTCCAAACTTACTAGTATTCACAATTTATTTGAAATACAATAAGGATATTTAAGGCCTCTTTCAGGCTTTACGGTTTTTGGGCTCAGTGAGCATAAAAACATTCTTCCCATGTCTTGGATCTTAAAGGGATAGTGTTGCAATGAGAAATGTGATTATCGAGAGCTATTACTAACCTAATGGTCTCCCTTCCAGCCCCACCCCAGGTCTTTGAGTCAGATTCTCAAATATCTTCCTTTGGCTCATAAATGCAAGTCCCGATGATTAGCTGGCCTCGAAGACAAACACTCAGGACTCTCACTCTCTCTGAAGATTCTGCTCTTACTTGAACTCATTAGACCTTGATTTGGGAACTTTGAACTCTTGATTCTCTAAGTTGACCTTGACAGCTGATTCTTTCCCTTATTAGATTTGGTCCTTTAATTTTCATCTGTTCGTGTGCAGTTGAAATATTCTGTGTTCAGGTCAGTCTTGTTTATCATTGTTCCTGTTATCTTTTAGGAAGATTCAGAGTTCATGAATTACACAGTCACTGTTTGGTATAGGTCTTTAACAGCCAATGCCTTTTTGATAGGAAACTTTCCCATACCTGCTTACATAGGAGCTATAAACAAAGTTAATAAGTCACATTTTATTTAACATAGCCACCTCTCTTTCTGTCATCCCTATTCTCTCCTATATACTTTTACTCGTTATGTTTTCCTCTACTGAAATATCTAACCTTTTACATATTTTCTATTTTCAAATCATAACCATCTCTTCAGGTTCTATTCAGATCCTGTCTTCTCTATGAAGCCTCTTTAAACTTTCTTTTCATGTTTTTTTCCTTCTCCTTAGGACTTTTACTTTTCTTAAAATGTGTACTTAATTATTACTATATATTTTCTTATTTAATGACATACTGTCTGGGTCTTGTTTCTTCAGCTAGATTATAATCTCCTTAAGGAAAGAAACTAGAATGTTCTCTAATTCCCACAATGGCTAGCATCGTGTTAAATATACCATAAGTGCTCAATAGATGTTGTCAACTGGTGGACTAGCAGCTCCATTTTACTGCACTGTAGACTAATAGAAAAATAAGATTTGCCTATTCTACTAGAACTAGCACAAAGAGGTGAAATTCCCAATGTGTTTTTCTTGGCCATGTCATTGTCGTCCATAAAACTTATCCATTTTCTTGACCTTCCTCCAGCTTTCTACATCATTCTATTGATGACTGCATTTGATAAACATGCATTTATTTTACAAGAAACACTTACTGAAAATATTTACTAGTTAGGTTTTAATATAAGACCTTAAACTCATTTTGTAATTGTGTAAGTATTTTAGTAACCAACCCCACAGATTAGATAAGAAAAATTTTTTTCATGCTCAATATGTTGGTGAGAAAATGGAGATGTGGCATTTTCAAGGAACTTCTCCAAGTTCATATGCTTAGTAACTACAACAGAAGAGACAAAACAGTTTATCTGGCTTAAAGCCAGTGGTTTCCAGAATGAGAAGAGTGTGCTTTCTGCTAAGCCCTAATGCCCCTCAATTACCACAAGGTCAAATCACATTTAAAGTTCATTCCACCTAAAAATGCACATAAACATTAAACAATAGCAATGTCCCAAATCTTATCATTAACCATTCCTCTACAGAGCTTTACTGAAAATTTTAGAATTCAAGGCTATGATTTGTCCATTTTATCCCCTTATTCTTTCCCCTTCACAACCAGTTATTCTCTTAATTGAACCAATCTTTAAACTAGACAACACGTTCATTTTTCTGTCAGAGGTATTTCAGCTCATTTTTGCTGAATTGGACATGAAGACTGTGTTTGAAGTTTGTTAGGGAGATATAGTGGCAAGTGTACCATGGCTACTTGCAAAATGCAATTAAGCCCTGGGATGGTGGCCAAGGGCCCTGGCAGGCAGAGACTCGAAACCAGGGAAGAGATTATACTGGAGCCATATTAGTGCCATCTAATTGCTGTTTTAACTTCCTCCCTTCAGCCATACTAGTTGTCCTGGCAGAGACTTGATGCTTCTAACACAAGAGCTAGAGCCAAAGTGAATTTATCATCAGTTTGAATTTGTTTGTGTTTGAATTAGTCTGAGACCTGGCCATGAGAAATTGTTTTCTTTATACCTTTGATGTCGTTCCAGGTGTTCCAGCTGCCTGTAGGTCGTTAGGCTGCTGATTCAGCCCTGGCCCTAGCACTGGAAAATGATAGCTGATCAATCTTTGTTTGTCCATTCCCAAGTCAACTGTTAATTCCAGAATTTGAGGCATTAGAAAAATACTTAGATATTACACTGAGAGAAATGAACATTTAAATTCCTTTTGGTGGTAAGGAAGAATGTAATACCAGGATATAAAATGTAATTTGCAGGAGAAAATCCTCTTTCTCCCAAATATATTCTCTACTGTTACCTGTGATTCTGCATTACTTATAGTAGAAAGTATCATTCACTTCAGACTCCTTTTAAAGGCAAATTCCCTTGGAATGAGAAGCCCATCAGCCCCGCCATGTCATTATGGATGAATAAGAGAGCCTGTGTCAGTGTGGATGAAATAAATATATCTAGGAGATGTTGTACAGGCTGGAGCAAATTCTTATGCTGTAGCCATAACTGTCTTCCGGAGTGGAAATTGTTAACATGTAGCTTCTTAAGACTTAAATACATCTTGTTAAACCAACATTTTTCAAGTGTTATCTTACCGAGTTCACCAAATGTGGATATCAAGATCTTAAATGCAATAATCAGATACCCAACTACAGCTTACCTCCTGTAGTTAAAATTAACTACCTCAAAATTCTCTAAGAGATTTATTTCCTTTAGGTTACTCTGCAAATGCCTGTCATCTATTTCTTTTACTATTTGCATCTCTATTTGCAAGATGCTGGAATTACATCTATATCTTTGTTCTGAGTGCTTGATATAGAATCCTCAAAAAAAATTTCAGCATTCTGCATTTTGCTTGTGCTGCAGAATTGGGAAGGGTAGAGTAACTTCAAGTTTAGGAGTCCAACTTTCAAAAATATTAATCACATGGAAATTGGATACCATTATACATCCTGTATGACAAATGGAAACATTTTCTTTGGCTGCAGAAACTTGTTTGCCCCTCTAACCATTTCACTTCTAAGTCATGCGAACAACTCAAACGGGACTCGAGGTGAGAGCAAAAGCATTTGCTGTACTCCTCCATCAACTCTAGCCTTTCCTGTGCCAAGCATTAATACCATGGGCCACCACCATAGACTGTCATTTTCTTGGAGAGGAAAAAGGAACCAAGAGGAGATTATGGAAAGTGGGGCCCTATTTAGAACTGAAGCATAGAAAGAAATCTGGTGTTCTGCTAACTCCCCACACAAGTCCCCTTTCTGTAGTCTGTTCTGTTCTCTCCTAGCTGACACCTCTTTTCTCTCCATTGCATTTCAAAACATTTCTTGATTTCAGTGAGTCAGATGGAAAAGAGCACTGGACTGAGAGTTGAGCAACCACAGATTTAGTTCCAACCATTCAACCTACTTTCAGTAAAAACTTGGGCAAGTAGGTCAGTCACTTGGATGCCATCCTCTACAACTTAAAAAATGGGTGTGCCCATCTCAGCTGGAGAGGTGCTAAGCAGACCCAGCCCGGCTATTTGGCCACATCTCCACTCCTAGCACTCCGATATGATTGAAGAGGTTCACAAAGAGGATGTGTGATCACCGTACTTATATCCCTAGTAAGGAATTACTGAGAAATTTCTGTGGGTATTTTTCCTGGGTTGGTGTTCTGTGTTAGTACAACAGGCAATTTTTTGGAAAATGTTGTAGGTAGCAGTGACTAAAATGTCACCACTACAGCTCTTTTTTTTTTTTCCTGTGGAATATTCCTATTATTCCACAGGAAATATATTCCACAGGAATAAGGAAACATTATTCTGTTTCCTTAAAATAACAATGCCATAATATGGATCAAAAAAAAAATCCGTAACTCCTTCTCCTTAGCCATGGACAGCAGAATGTCCTATAAACCACCACCGCTGTGGTAGAATGAACGATGGACCCCCAAAGATGTTCATGTCCTAATCCCCAAAACATAAATATGTTACATTATCTGGAAAAAGGGACTTGGCAAATATGGTTAAGCAGAGAATTTTGAGATAAGGAGATTATCCTGGACTATTCAAACGGGCCCAAAGTAATGAGTCCTTTTAAGAAAAAGGCATAAAGGTCAGAGGCAGAGAAAATGATTAGAAGATAATACACTGCTGACTTTGAAGATAGCTATTAAAACCATAAGCCAAGGAATGTGGGCAGCCTCTAGAGGCCAGAAAAGGCAAATAAACAGATTTTCTCCCAGAGTCTCCAGAAAGAATGCCCTGCCAACACCTTGATTTTAGGACTTCTCACTTCCAGGACTGTAAGATAACAAATGTGTGTCATTTTATATCCCTTCGTTTGTGGTAGTTATAGGATTAATAGGAAATTAATATAACCACTTAATTCAGACTCTCTAACATGGATCTGTGGTGTTTGTGTTGGTCATTCTTTCTCATTATTTATAATCAGATAATGTCATTTAAATTTTTCTAAACATTAATTAAATGCTAAATATTATCCCATAACCAGCCATGCCTGGTGGGGCAGGTGATGCTGCTAAAGTGGGATGTTATACAAGAGGGTAAAAGCTCTAGATCTTGGACCAGACAGATCTGGCTTTAAGCCCTTTCTCTGAACTACTGTAACTCTGAGAACGTCAGTGAAATTACTCTATCACTTTGAAACCAGCTTCTTGTCTATTAAAATGTTATCCTAACTCATAAGGTCAATGAGAGCATTAAATAAGATAATTTATATGTAAGAATTCAACAGAAGTTCTAGTACATAGGGTACATATGGCAGGTTTTATTGTTTTTAAAAAGGGATGATTCACTGAACTAAAGTGTATAGCAACAGCTTTATAGAGGAAATGTGATCCACATTGGCCCTCAAATATTTCGGTAGACTTGGGTAGAGACTTTCAAAAGTGAAGCTATTATGTTGGGGAATACAGGCTTTAGGGTAGAGATTTGGATTTGCCACTTATTAGCCACATCATCATCTTCGGTGAATTATTTCATTTCTCTGACCTACAATTTCTTCAGCTAAAATTTGTATATCAATATCCATCTTACAGGATCATTGAGAAAATTAAATAGAATTATGCATGTGAAGCTTGGGGAAAGCTCAGCACAGAATGCAATCACTAGGGTTAGGAAGGCAGCAAGGACAAAGTGGTAGGGCATGTTTTTGAAACAGATAAACCAGCAGACCGTCTCTGGTGGAGCCAGCAGACTAAAGGAGAACAAGTGAAAAAGTTAGAGAATCAATTGAAAGAAGATTGTAGGGGGGTCCTCTGTGGCTGGCTAGGGTTTTCTAGCCTGAAAGACTGAAAGTAACTTTTATAATAGAAGCTATCAAATATAAGCTATGGAGGGTTTTATGTAACACTATAAATTGTCAGTTTGCCCATAATGCAAATGATAGAAGAGTTTATAGAGAGAGGTATTCCTGGGTAGATCTATAGGGCAATGTTTTCAAAGTTTCTTAGCAATGAAATACATGTATTAGAATACATGTAAAGAGTAAAATATTAATGAAGAATCACAAAATGTTTTTTAATATAAATTGATATGCTTCATATTTAAACATATTCATTAGGCAAATATGTGTTGAGTACCTATCATCTAAACAGTTAAAGATAGAATAATGAGCAAAGACCTCAGTCACTGTGTTTACAGCGCTTAGTTTCATGGAAGACACAGATATGAATTAAATAGTTATACAAATGAATATAAATATTATACTTTATGTAACAATATATAATGATATAATACATAGGCATATTTCATCATTTTTATGAAAAGAAAGTATAAAGGGCTGTGACACGTCCCAGAGGGCTTTATACAGTCTGCTATGGACTAAATGGTATCCCCCCAAAATTTCTATTTTGAAGCTGTAACTCCCAATATAATGGTGGTATTTGAAGATGGGGCCCATGGAAGGTAGTTAAGTTTAGATGAGATCATAAAGATCAGGCCTTCATGATGGGGGTTAGAGACTAGTACACGGTCTAGGGAATTTGTGTCCTTGACATCCATTCCTCTGCCTCTCTTTGGTATAGATGCCCTTAAGATAGAACAGGATTTGCTTCTCTTCTCTCATAGGCCCTGTAATTGGTCCATGATTGGTATAGGCAGTTTCAAGGCCAACCCTCCTCCTATCTGTAGCAACTTCCTCCTCTCACCTCCTAGTTCACCCATTGACTTCACCTTCCTTTGGTAATCATAATTCTCATCACTTAGCTATTTTCTTGTGCATGTTGTTATATGGTGAATGTGATATAATCTCATTGATCATATAAGAACTATTCTTCTCCTGCTCTGTGCATAGTACATACTGTGGTCAGTCTCTACCCTTTGACTTGACTAGGATGACTGAGAATATGTTTGAGCTGGACTATGAGGGAGTAGATGTAGCATGAGATAAAAGATATTATTTGGTGGAATTGAGGAGGACAAGAAAAATAATAACAACAACAACAAGAGAAGAAGGAGGAGGAGGACAAAAGAAGAGAAAGAGTATTGGATAGCCAGGAATGAAGACGCAAATGTGGGTTAAACTGACACTGACTTTGAATGTTTATTGGGTCAGAGTGATCTCCAGAAAAGCCACTTCCCACTGTTCAGTTGATTGAATATCTCTGAATTTAAAAAGTGCTTCAGACAAATGAAGCAACTTAGTACTGTGGACTCTACTTTTATCATCTGTTACTTTTGTCAAGTGAAAAGCTTGTGATGTCCTCACCTAATCTAGCTAAAGCCTACAAGTAGTCTCTCATCACTCTCTTCCCTTTTCATTCCATTCTCTACACAGCAGCCAAAATGATATTTATAAAAATAAATGGGATATTTATAAACATAAATTGGATCACCGCCTGCTTAAAACCACTCAATGATTTCCTTTGCATTTAGAATAAAACCTAAGCCCCTTACCATGGCTTACAAAACTCTGGCAGTCTAATTCCTGCCCAGCTCTCAAATTGCATATGATTGCCACCCTAACTCCCAATGTACCTGCCCCACTGGCCTTGTTTCCCTTCTTAAACATGCTAATCTCCTCCTCACCTTTGTTCCCTATGAAGGCTGAATGCTGAGTGTGCAATGCATTTCTCTTATGTCTTCACTTAGCTGCCCCTTCTCATGTGTCAGATTTAAGCATGAATGCCACCTCCTAAAATAAGCCTTCCATTAGGTATTCTGTCAAATAACCCTTTGTTCTTTTCTTCTGTAGCATTCGGCAAAATGTAAGTCTTTCAATGAGGGGCAGGTTTTGCCCTTTTGTTCCCCATTATATTAACAGAACTCAACCTATTGTCTTGCATATAGTAGGCACTCAAGTGTTTATTGAAAGAATGAATGGATAGGTGGATGGTTGGATGGTTGGATGGATGCATGGATGGATGGATGGATGGATGGATGGTAGGCGGGTATGCCTGTGGAGAAGAATGTGTGAATCAGATAGCCATTATGAAAGAATAAGTTAGATTTTTCAAAGTTTACTTTTAGACTTTTCAGGAAATTAAAATCTGTCTCTATTTGGCCAAGTGAAAAGTTCTCCAAGCCCAATTTGCCCCCACCCCACCCCCAGTTTTCTTCCCTGCTTGCTCCTCTGGCCTTCCCTTCTCCCTGCAATCCTATAGTACTAGACATCTGTGTACCACATCTAGCCTTTTAAAACTTTTTGTCTTGTTTTCCTTCTTGTCCCAGAAGACTTTGTTCACTGCTTTATCTGTAGCCTCTACACCTTTGTTCAGAATCCAATAGGTGCCTGATAAATACTTTTTAGATGAGCAAAAGTAGAAATCTTTGAGGATGAGAATCATGCCAAATGCCTCTTAGACGTTTTCTGTAATTAAGCAGTATGTCAAAGCATGAGTTAACATTAATGGATTTAGGCACCAATGTTTAGAAAAGTAAATGTATTAAAATTATTTCTGAAATATAGGATGCATATTTTTGCCTTCTTATATGTAGGTCAATGAACACAATTTGATATTTTCTTGATGTCTGAGGATTATTATGTGAGCATCAATTATTGTTTGCTTCTGCCTCTGTAGATGTAGTTTGGTCTGACATTTGCAGGAAGGAGAGGAGGCACAGAAGCAAATGTTGCCCTTCACCATTCCCTGAGCCATCTATGCCAAATGGCCTAGAGCACGCAAGACAGAAAATCTAAGACAACCAAACAAACCATTTTCCTTCAGAAAGGGAAGTGGATCCAAATGTGAGTGGCTTTTCTTTTCTCTCTAAGACAGTAATGCAGAAATTTTGTTTCTAGTGTGGGATGGCTCTCTCACTCTTAAACTTACATACACTTAACAAAATAAGTTGCCAATTCTATCTTTGGGGCTTCCCACCTTCACTTTCAGATTTATTCTAAGAAAGTGTGATAAAAAGAGCACTGCCTTTAGAGTCAGACAGAGCTGAACTTGAACCCCAGCTCTGCCCTGTCTAGCCATGTGAGAGAGATGTGGGATTGAATTATGCAATGTATATATCACACTTTACACAGTATCCAACACAGAAATAAATGCCTGATTCATGGTTGTTGTTTTTTTTCATCTCCCTCTAGAGTGTCTTCTGCCCTCTAATGACCTACCTGCCCCATGAGCCTCACTCTTCATTGCCTAGGGTAGGTAATCAGCTTCCTTCCCCTCACCTTCTGCCATCTGTCAGGAATAGTCCTATGGGGGGGAAAATATATATATATATATATATATATATATATATATATATAAATATATATATATAAATTTACTCAAAGATACTAGATTCTGATACTTCTTGTTTTCCTTTTCCAGAGGCATTTGCATTTACAAAGGAGACAATTAACTCATCCAGAGAGGTGCCTCTTAAATGATAGAAACTAGTACAGTATTCCCTGTACTAGATAGAAAGTACAGTATTCCCTCCTTACCCAAAGTTTCATTTTCCACGGTTTCAGTTATCTATTGTCATCTGTGGTCTAGAGATATTAAAGGGAAAATTCCAGAAATAATTTATAAATTTCAAATTGTGCACCATTCTGAAGAGTATGATAAAATCTCACACCATCCCACTCCAGCTCCACCCCACCCCACATGAATTATCTCTTTGTCCAGCACATCCACACTGTATAACCTCCCTGTCTGTTAGTCACTTAGCAGACATGTTGGTTAACAGATTGAAAAACATAAAATATATATGGTTTGGCACTGTCCATGGTTTCAGGCATCCACTGGGGGTCCTGGAACATATTCCCCGCAGATAAGAGTGAACTACTATACAATTTTTTAGGGTATTGGTTTGCCGATTGCTCTTCAAATTAAACTGCCTTGGTAATGCTGTATCTGTATTCATGCAGGGCAAAGACTTGTACCAATTTTTTTATGTGTATAATTAAAATGTGTGTGCTGATATCTCTGATATATCAAATTTATATTAAAACTTTCTTCTTCAAATGTAATACTGTAAAACATAGCCACTACATTTCCTACCTGGAAAATCATGTAACTCTGGTGCCTTTATGTAGCTGTACACCTCATTCTGACTTATTGAAGGATTTAAGCTTTTCATAGAGAGGGTTTTAACGAAGCCACTTTAAGCCCTTTTTAGATTTGAAAAGATGAAAGCATTGGCAGGACTTGTAAGAGATAGCACGGGGTTTCCGTGTGAACATCTTAACAGCAGAAACGTGCCCCCATCCAAAGAGTGCACTTTGCTATTTATCAGGATTTAGGGAAGAGACTGAAGTGCAAGCGTGATGCAATTTTAAAAGATCCCTTTAAAAGCAGCTATATCCACACCCAGCGGAAATGGGGATCGGTTTATCTAAAAGTCTGCAGGTGGCACGTTTTCTATTTCTGTGGCCATTAGAGGATGAGTCCCAGAGTGAAGTTTGACTTCAAGATCCCAAAGTGTCCTTTCTAACTAAAGAAAATCTCTCAGATAAACTAGTAATAGCTAAGGTTATTTATTGATGTGGTGATTTTACAAAATATACAAGTAAAAGCTAATAATGTTTGAACTGCAATCACAAGAAATAAATTTATATTCCTGGGTAAAAAGGGGAGGTGGCTTTATTTGTTTGGCTGTCTGTTGTTACTGCTTATAAGTTTAGATGTTCAGTCACTGAAACTAAATAATTAGACTGTTTCTATACCACACAAAAGCCCAGTTTTCATCAATATTTAAACACTAAGGGAGAAAGCAAGAAATTGACCATTTATTTAGGAAAGTAATGTGGCTGGCACCTTCTGAAATGGCTCAAACGATCGATCCCTGCCTTCTGTCATTCAAATGCTTGTGTAATCCCTCTCCTATTGAGTGTGGGCTGCACATAGTGACTGGCTTCTACCAAACAGAATATGAAAAAAGTGATGAGATGTCACTTATAAGATTAGGTTATAAAAGAGTGTGACACCTCTCTTTCTCTTCTCTCTTGCTTTCTATAATGAAGCCAGCCACCATTTTGTGAGCTATCCTATGAAGAAACCCATATGGCAAGAAACTAAGAGCAGCTTCTGGATAATAACCAATGAGGAAGTGAGGCACTCAGTCCAATAGCTCATAAGTAACTGAATCCTGCCAGCAACTACAGCCCCAGCCAATACCTTGATTGCAGCCTTGAAAGAAACCCAGAGAAAGAATGGACCCAACTAGACCATGCTGTACTTCTGACCCACAGAAACTGTGAGATAACGAATACTGTTTTTTTAATGTATTTTCATCTATTATTATTTGTTTTTTACATTTTTTAATTTTAATTATTTTTATTATACTTTAAGTTCTAGGGTACATGTGCACAACATGCATGTTTGTTATATAGGTATATATGTGCCATGTTGGTTTGCTGCACCCAGTAACTCATCATTTACATTAGGTATTTCTTCTAATGCTATCCCTCCCCCTGCCCCCACCCCATGACAGGCCCCAGTGTGTGATGTTCCCCACCCTATGTCCAAGTGATCTCATTGTTCAGTTCCCACCTATGAGTGAGAACATGCGGTGTTTGGTTTTCTGTCCTTGCAGTAGTTTGCTGAGAATGATGGTTTCCACCTGCATCCATGTCCCTGCAAATGACATGAACTCATCCTTTTTTATGGCTGCATAGTATTCCATAATGTATATGTGCCACATTTTCTTAATCCAGTCTATCACTGATGCTCATTTAGGTTGGTTCCAAGTCTTTGCTATTGTGATTAGTGCCGCAATAAACATACATGTGCATGTGTCTTTATAGTAGCATGATTTATAATCCTTTGGGTATATACTCAGTAATGGGATGGCTGGGTCAAATGGTATTTCTAGTTCTAGATCCTTGAGGAATCACCACACTGTCTTCCACAATGGTTGAACTAGTTTACACTCGCACCAGCAGTGTAAAAGCATTCCTATTTCTCCACATCCTCTCCAGTACCTGTAGTTTCCTGACTTTTTAATGATCGCCATTCTAACTGGTATGAGATGGTATCTCATTGTGGTTTTGATTTGCATTTCTCTGCTGACCAGTGATGATGAGCATTTTTTCACATGTCTGTTGGCTGCATAAATGTCTTCTTTTGAGAAGTGTCTGTTCATATCCTTCACCCACTTTTTGATGGGGTTGATTTTTTTCTTGTAAATTTGTATAAGTTCTTTGCAGATTCTGGATATTAGTTCTTTGTCAGATGGGTAGATTGCAAAAATTTCCTCCCATTCTGTAGGTTGCCTGTTCACTCTGATGGTAGTTTCTTTTGCTGTGCAGAAGCTCTTTAGTTTAATTAGATCTCATTTGTCTATTTTGGCTTTTGCGCCATTGCTTTTGGTGTTTTAGACATGAAGTCCTTGCCCTTGCCCATGCCTATGTCCTGAATGGTATTGCCTAGGTTTTCTTCTAAGGTTTTTATGGTTTTAGGTCTAACAGTAAGTCTTTAATCCATCTTGAATTAATTTTTGTACAAGGTGCAAGCAACGGATCCAGTTTCAGCTGTCTACATATGGCTAGCCAGTTTTCCCAGCACCATTTATTAAACAGGGAATCCTTTCCCCATTTCTTGTTTTTGTCACATTTGTTAAAGATCAGGGGGTTGTAGATGTGTGGTGTTATTTCTGAGGCCTCTGTTCTGTTCCATTGGTCTATATCTCTGTTTTGGTGCCAGTAGCATGCTATTTTGGTTACTGTAGCCTTGTAATATAGTTTGAAATCAGGTAGTGTGATGCCTCCAGCTTAGTTCTTTTTGCTTAGGATTGTCTTGGCAATGTGGCCTCTTTTTTGGTTCCATATTAACCAAATGAAATAGTTACATGTGAAAGTAGTTTTTTTCCAATTCTGTGAAGAAAGTCATTGGTAGCTTAATGGGGATGGCATTGAACCTATCAATTACTTTGGGCAGCATGGCCATTTTCACGATATTGATTCTTCCTACCCATGAGCATGGAAGGTTCTTCCATTTGCTTGTGTCCTCTTTTATTTCGTTGAGCAGTGGTTTGTAGTTCTCCTTGGAGAGGTCCTTCACATCCCTTGTAAGTTGGATTCCTAGGTATTTTATTCTCTTAGCAGCAATTGTGAATGGGAGTTCACTCATGATTTGGCTCTCTGTTTGTCTATTATTGGTGTATAGGAATGCTTGTGATTTTTGTACATTGATTTTGTATCCTGAGACTTTGCTGAAGTTGCTTATCAGCGTAAGGAGATTTGGGGCTGAGAGAATGGGGTTTTCTAAATATACAATGATGTCATATGCAATTGGAGACAATTTGACTTCCTCTTTTCCTAATTGAATACCCTTTATTTCTTTCTCTTGCCTGATTGCTCTGGCCAGAACTTCCAACATTGTGTTGAATAGCAGTGGTGAGAGAGGGCATCCCTGTCTTTTGCCAGTTTTCAAAGGGAATGCTTCCAGTTTTTGCCCATTCAGTATGATATTGACTGTGGGTGCATCATAAATAGTTATTATTATTTTGCGGTATGTTCCACCAATACCTAGTTTATTGAGAGTTTTTAGCATGAAGGGCTTTGAATTTTGTCAAGGGCCTTTTCTGCATCTATTGAGATAATCATGTGGTTTTTGTCTTTGGTTCTGTTTATGTGATGGATTACATTTATTGATTTGCGTATTTTGAACCGGCCTTGCATCCCAGGGATGAAGCTGACTTGAGTGTGGTGGATAAGCTTTTTGATGTGCTGCTGGATTAGGTTTGCCAGTATTTTACTGAGGATTTTCGCATCGATGTTCATCAGGGATATTGGTCTAAAATTCTCTTTTTTTGTTATTTCTCTGCCAGGCTTTGGTATCAGGATGATGCTGGCTGCATAAAATGAGTTAGGGAGGATTCCCTCTTTTTTTTATTGGAACAGTTTCAGAAGGACTGTTAACAGCTCCTCTCTGTACCTCTGGTAGAATTCGGCTGTGAATCCGTCTGGTCCGGGACATTTTTCGATTGGTAGGCTATTAATTATGGCCTCAATTTCAGAGCCTGTTATTGGTCTATTAAGAGATTCATCTTCTTCCTGGTTTAGTCTTGGGAGAGTGTATCTGTCCAGGTATTTATCCATTTCTTCTAGATTTTCTAGTTGATTTGTGTAGAGGTGTTTATAGTATTCTCTGATGGTAGTTTGTATGTCTGTTGGATTGGTGGTGATATCCCCTTTATCATTTTTTTGTTGTGTCTGTTTGATTCACTCTTTTCTTCTTTATTAGTCTTGCTAGCGATCTATCAATTTTGTTCATGTTTTAAAAAACCAGCTCCTGGATTCAATGATTTTTTTTGAAGGGTTTTTTGTGTCTCTATCTCTTCCAGTCCTGCTCTGATCTTAGTTATTTCTTGCCTTCTGCTAGCTTTTGAATTTGTTTGTTCTTACTTCCCTAGTTCTTTTAATTGTGATGTTAGGGTGTCAGTTTTAGATCTTTCCTGCTTTCTCTTGTGGGCATTGAGTGCTATAAGTTTCCCTCTACACACTGCTTTAAATGTGTCCCAGAGATTCTGGTACATTGTATCTTTGTTCTCATTGGTTTCAAAGAACATCTTTATTTCTGCCTTCATGTCGTTATTTACCCAGTAGTCATTCAGGAGCAGGTTGTTGAGTTTCTTAATCCTGAGTTCTAATTTGATTGCACTGTGACCTGAGAGATAGTTTGTTGTGATTTCTCTGCTTTTACATTTGCTGAGGAGTGCTTTACTTCCAACTATGTGGTCAATTTTTGGAATAAGTGTGATGTGGTGCTGAGAAGAATGTATATTCTGTTGATTTGGGGTGAATAGTACTGTAAATGTCTATGAGGTCTGCTTGGTGCAGAGCTGAGTTCAAGTCCTGGATATCCTTGTTAACCTTCTGTCTGTTGATCTGTCTAATATTGACAGCAGGGTGTTAATGTCTCCCATTACTATTGTGTGGGAGTCTTAGTCTCTAAGGCTTGCTTTATGAATCTGGGTGCTCCTGTATTGGGTGCATATATATTTAGGATAGTTAGCTCTTCTTGTTGAATTGATTCCTTTACCATGATGTAATGCCCTTCTTTGTCTCTTTTGATCTTTGCTTTCCATTTGCTTTGTAGATCTTCCTCAATCCCTCTATTTTGAGCCTATATGTGTCTCTGCACGTGAGATGGGTCTCCTGAATACAGCACACTAATAGGTCTTGACTATTCAATTTGCCAGTCTGTGTCTTTTAATTGGGGGCATTTAGCCCATTTACATTTAAGGTTAATATTGTTATGTTTGAATTTGATCCTGTCATTATGAAGTTGGCTGGTTATTTTGCCTGTTAGTTGATGCAGTTTCTTGCTAGCATTGATAGTCTTTCCAATTTGGCATGTTTTTGCAGTGGCTGGTACTGGTTGTTCCTTTCCATGTTTAGTGCTTCCTTCAGAAGCTCTTGTAAGGCAGGCCTGGTGGTGACAAAATCTCTCAGCATTTGCTTGTCTGTAAAGGATTTTATTTCTCCTTCATTTATGAAGCTTAGTTTGGCCGGATTTGCAAATTATTTTGCTTAAAAATATTGAATATTAGCCCCTACTCTCTTCTGTCTTGCAGAGTTTCTGCTGAGAGATCTGCCATTAGTTTGATGGGCGTCCCTTTGTGGGTAACCTGACCTTTCTCTCTGGCTGCCCTTAACATTTTTTTCCTTCATTTCAACCTTGATGAATCTGACAATTATGTGTCTTGAGGTTGCTCTTGAGGTATATCTTTGTGGTGTTCTCTGTATTCCCTGAATTTGAATGTTGGCCTGCCTTGCTAGGTTGGGGAAGTTCTCCTGGATAATATCCTGAAGAGGGTTTTCCAACTTGGTTCCATTCTCCCTGTCACTTTCAGGTATACCAATCAAATGTAGATTTGGTCTTTTCACATAGTCCCATATTTCTTGGAGGCTTTGTTTGTTTCTTTTTACTCTTTTTTTCTCTAAACTTCTCTTCTTGCTTTATTTCATTAATTTGATCTTCAATCACTGATACCCTTTCTTGCACTTGATCGAATCAGCTATTGAAGGTTGTGCTTGAATCATGTAGTTCTCTTGCCATGGTTTTCATGTCTATCAGGTCATTTAAGGTCTTCTCCACACTGTTTATTCTAGTTAGCCATTCGTCTAATCTTTTTTTAAGGTTTTTAGCTTCCTTACAATGGGCTCGAACATCCTCCTTTAGCTCAGAGGAATTTGTTATTACCGACTTTCTGAAGCCTACTTCTGTCAGCTGGTCAAAGTCTCTCCGTCCAGCTTTGTTCCATTGCTGGAGATGAGCTGTGATCCTTTGGAGGAGAAAAGGCACTCTGATTTTTAGAATTTTCAGGTTGTCTGCTCTGGTTTCTCCCCATCTTTGTGGTTTTATCTACCTTTGGTCTTTGATGTTTGTGACCTACACATGGGATTTTGGTGTGGATGTCCTTTTTTTGATGTTGATGCTATTCCTTTCTGTTAGTTAGTTTTCCTTCTAACCATCAGGTCCCTCAGCTGCAGTTCTGTTGGAGTTTGCTGGAGGTCCACTCCAGACCCTGTTTGCCTGGGTATCACCAGCAGAGGCTGCAGAACAGCAAATATTGCTGCCTGATCCTTCCTCTGGAAGCTTCGTCCCAGAGGGGCACCTGGCTGTATGAGATGTCAGTCGGCCCCTACTGGGAGGTGTCTCCCAGTTAGGCTACATCGGGGTCAGGGACCCACTTGAAGAGGCAGTCTGTCCGTTTTCCGAGCTCAAACACCATTCTGGGAGAATGACTGCTCGCTTCAGAGCTGTCAGACAGGGACGTTTAAGTCTGTAGAAGTTTCTGCTGCCTTTTAAGTTATGCCCTGCCCCCAGAGGTGGAGTCTATACAGCAGGCCTTGCTGAGCTGCAGTGGGCTCCGCCCAGTTCTAGCTTCCCAGTCTGTTTTGTTTACCTACTCAAGCCTCAGCAATGGCAGACACCCACCCCTCCCCCTGCCAGACTGCCACCTCGCAGGTCAATCTCAGACTGCTGCACTAGCAGTGAGCAAGGCTCCATGGGTGTGTTACGCACCGAGCCAGGCACGTGATATAATCTTTTGGTGTGCCATTTGCTAAGACCATTGGAAAAGCACAGTATTTGGGCGGGAGTGTCTCGTTTTTCCAGGTACTGTCTGTCACAGCTTCCCTGGGCTAAGAAAGGGAAATCCCTCGACCCCTTGTACTTCCCAGGTGAGGTGATGCCCCAACCCTACTTTGGCTTGCCCTCTGTGGGCTGCACCACTGTCCAACCAGTTCCAGTGAGATGAACCAGTTGCCTCAGTTGGAAATGCAGAAATCACCTGTTTTCTGTGTTAATCATACTGGAAGCTGCAGACTGGAGCTGTTCCTATTTGGCTGTCTTGGAACAGAAATCCACGAATATTGTTTTAATCCACTAAGTTTGAGGGTAATTTATTATGCTACAATAGATAACTAAATCAAGAACACTTAAATATATAATATCTTACATGGTACAAAAGTAGATAAAGTGTGGTATATCTATATACAATATAAACTAGAATAAGGTTGAAGATGATTTGATTATATAAAAATAATATCTATGTAGTTACATATATGACCTTCAAAGAAGACCAAATCAATTCCTTTAGAAGACCAAGAGGTAGAGAACTAGAGCATCAAGCCAACACCCAGAAATTATAGAAAAACACTTTTCTATAGCTATATAAAAGATATAGAAAAATCCTTATTTCTGTTTTTTATCAGCTAGTATTCAGGGAGGTAAACAGAAAACAGTCTTCATACCTTGTGGAGAGAAAAATTTAATGCAAGAAATTAGAAAAGGGTTGGAAGTTCTGGGGGAGTGTAAGAGGGAGGGTGGTATTGCCCAGAGAGCAAGCAGCTTCCAGTACCCTTGCAAGAGCCCAAGGGACTATACTTGCTGCTGGTGCCACCAAAGGACTAAACAGGAAGTACAACCCTACTGCAACCACTGTTGATTCTTCTACCTAAGGTGCAGCAGAAGCAGACAGATGTCTATCACCATTCTGTCTTCTAATACCCCATGGAGATCTTCCATGGGAAGACTTTCCCTTCAGCCCGCCTAAAAAGAGGGTCTGATAAATGTGTTTCCAGTAGAATGGTGGGTGTACAGCTGAGTGCCAATAAACAATGTCTGCCACACATATTAAACCAGTTTTGATATTTCCTTTGATCAACGGCATATATTTTTCAAGACTGAAATTATCGCAAGATTCATCGTATAAAATTCATCAAGCACCTTACATCAGTTTTATAAATTAAGCCCTAAATTATCACTGTATTCACATGAAAACAGGATAACTACATGAATACACTGATTTCACCATATATGAAATTAAAGGATTCAGGATTTTAAAATGTCACTCAAACCCTATTATATTAGTGGGTTTTTGACTGAACAATTCAGTTAATCTAGTCAAAACAGTTTATTCAGAAATGCCTTATATGTAATTTTTATAAATCTGGTATTCCCATGTTTATATCCCCATTTCATTGAGAAAACGTAGAAAAAATGAGTTAGATATGAATGCTTTAAGATACAAATTTTTTTTTGCCCTTGTTTATTCATGAAATTTTTTGAGATTCCAAATATAGCCAACCCTTGAACAACGCAGGGGTTAGTGGATCCCAAAACTTAATTACTAGTAGCCTACTGTTGATAGGAAGCTTTACCAATTACATGAACAGCCTATTAACACATATTTTGTATGTTATATGTATTATATACTGTATTCTTACAATAAAGCTAGAGAAAAGAAAATGTTATTAAGAAAGTCATAAGGAAGAGGAAATATATTTGCTATTCATTAAGTTAAAGTGAAACATCATAAAGGTCTTCATCCTTGTCATTTCCATTGAGTAGGCTGAGAAATAGGAGGAATTGGTCTTGTTGTCTCAAGGGTGGCAGAGGTAGAAGAAGTGGAGGAGGTCGAAAGGGGAGGCAAGAGAGGCAGGCACACTCCCTGTAACTTTACGGAAATACATCATAATCTCTGCCTGACTTTTTGCTTTTTCATTCCCTTAAAAACGTTCCTATAGATACTAATACTTCATCCACTATTGCTTTAGTTTCAGCGCCCATGTCATAGAAGGATGCGTGTTCTAAAAGAAGTCAAAAGCAGGCTTCATTACTGAGAACCCTTCTGCCAGATTGTGTAACGTCAACTTGTTTTCGGGCACTGCTTCTCCTATATCTTCTTCCTCATATTCCGTCACTGGTTCAGAAGCAGTTATCTTCATCAAGTCATCTTCTATTAATTCCTCTGGAGTGGTGTCTATTAACTCTCTAATTTTACCAAGATAGGTATCTTGATCCACCCCTTCCGCCACCTTTTTTTCATATCCACATCTTTCATGATTTCCTTGATTGGCTCTGTTGCAAATCCTGTGAAGTCATGTATAATGCTCTTTCTATAAGACTCATAATGCTCTTTCTATAACAACAATGGCATCTTCAATGGTGTAATCCTTCCAGACTTTTATGATAATCTCTCTATCAGACTTCTCTTCCATGGAGCTGGCAATCCTTTCCATAGAATGCTACATGTAATGAGGCTTCAAGGTCCTTATGACCTCCTTATTTGGAGGCTGAGCTAGTGACATTGAGTTTGGGGACAAGTAGATCCTTTTGAAACGTTAATGTTAAAGTCATGGAGTTCTGAGTGGCCAGGAGCATTGTCTAATATCAAGTGAACTTTAAAAGGCAGTTTCTTATGGCAAGGTGCTTCCTGACTTCAGGAATAGAACATCAGTGGAACCAGTCCAGAAAAAGCGTTCTTGTTGTCCAGGCCTTCTTGTTATACTACTAAATGACTGGAAGCTGGTGTTTATCTCTTTCCCTTAAGGCGGAGTTGTTAGCAGCTTTATAGATAAGGGCAGTCCTCATGATGAATCCTACTGCATTTGCGCCAAACAGTGGAGTTAGCTAATCCCTTCCTGCCTTAAATCCTGGTGCTTATGCCTCTTCTTTTCTAATAAATGTCTTTTGCATTGCTTTTTCCCAAAATTGGGCACTTTTGTCTGCAATAAAAACTTGTTCAGGTAGATATATATATATTTTTTTCAGTCTGTATGCCTTTTGTTTATTACTAGCTGAAACCTTCAGTGAAATGTCAAATAGAGGTAGTAAGAGCGGAAATACTTGACTTGTTCATGACCTTAGGAAGAAAGCGTTTAGCCTTTCACCATGCAGATAGTCTTTTTCCTCAATTATTTTCTTAAATGGCATCTAGGAACTTTGCTGCCTCTTGGGCAGCAGAATCTGCTTTTCCTGGTATCTTGACATGTTTTCTAAGCCACCTCTCTTTCTAAACATATTAAACCATCCTTGGCTGTCACTAAACCTTCCAGCTTTAGATCCTTCACTTTCCTTTTGCTTTTAGTTGTCATATAATGAACTCACACTTTCTCAAATCATATTAGAGTCTATAGGTATACCTTTCTTATAGCAATCCAGCACCCACATGAAAGCTATGTTTTCAATATGAGATAAAAAGGTGTTTTGCAAAAACTGCAAGGCTTTTGTGTCTGCTGCTGTAGCTACAGCAATAGCTTTATTAATTTTCTGTTTTTGTTTTGTTTGTAATGGTCCTTACATTGAATTCATTTATCTTGAAATGATGAGCAACCACAGCTGCAGACCTCAATCTATGGTGCATATCAAACAATTCAGTGTTTTCCTGTAAAGCACTTTTCTCTGCTTCTTGGGAGCACTTCCAACATCACTAGTTGCACTTTGTATGGGTACCGTGTTGTTATTCAAGGTTTACGGTATTGCACTAACACAAAGATGAAAAATATGCAAGAACTATGAGTGATCACTTTTTACTGGGATGCACAATTGACTGGAGATGTTGCTCCCAAGGAGATGATTAGTCTCACACAACATTTTAAGCAGATACTTGAGCTCACCACAATAGAAACAGAAGGTGGCTACAAAATTATTGTGATAGTACAGTATATACTATAGTGAATTTTGTGTGGTTATGATTTAATAATGCATATTTACATTTGTTCACATTTCTCTTGGTCTGTGTTTGTGTGCCTAAACTTAACTTTTGATAATAGATCTGTATATGTATTATGGTAATAAATAATAAAATGACTAGTATCTATGTATATTTTATATAATCATGACATACTTAACTTTTTCCTATTTTTTTGATATCTAGACTATGAAGTTCATCTGCTACTGTTTTCAAATTGTCACAAATCTCCAAACTGTCACAAATCTCCAAAAAATCTTCCAATATATTTATTGAAAAATAATCTGCATATAAGTGGATTTTGCAGTTCAAATCCATGTTGTTCAAGGGTCAATTGTATGAGTCCTGTCATCTCTAGCCACACCAGACAATATTCAGCGCTTTGAATGTTTTACACAACATTCCCATGGGCAATTATTTATTCTCCCCTCAACTGGGTCAAGTGTTTTAGGCATGCATAGGAAGACAGTCAGGTTAGCAATTTATTTTTATCTATTGATTATTACTCTAATTTTTAGAACTATCTAAACCTTTGTTTCATCTATGCACTCTCACAAAAGGCCTTTGCTTCACTGTTTAGAAAGTATGCTACTTGAGAACAATGCCCACATTCTGAATTTAATAAATGATTAGCAAAGACCAAGATGTTCCAAGCACTTTGGTAGGTGCTACCCTACATCTCTTTTTAGTTCTAACACCATGAGCCTCACATTCTGCCTGGCCTGGAGCTTGTGCTTAGCGAGCAGTTATCAAATGACTGATTAGCTCAAGAAAAACTACAGATTCAAAGGAACTAAAGCTTTTCCATTGAACTTTTTCCAGTGATTATTGTAACACATTTATTTCCAATCTCCCTTTAGAATTCCTGGTAACTTTTCAATGGCATGTACTGCTGAGGAGAGAAAAACCTGGATATCTTGCTTTAATGCTTAGGTTTATACAACTAATAATTAGCTTTCGTTCTTCTCAAGGAGACACAATTAGTCATGGCTCTGGTCCTCTTCCTTAAAGAGCAGAGAGAACACTCAACCACAATCTTCATAGTCCTTGTATCAGCCTTTTCTAAACTTAGAGGAGTGGTAGCATGACAGCTGCTTCTAAAGGCCGCTGTTGGGGAGGAAAGTGTGAGTGTCGGTATTTGCATCTGAAAATCTGTGTTCAACACCAGTGTATTCTACAAGGCCCTGGAGTAAGTAAGGGCCTTTCTTCTTACCCTTACCCTTTATCCTTGTTTGTTCATTGGAATGAACAATTCAAACTGCCAATGTTGACTGAGGAGGGCCTGAAAGAGTAACAGGCCTAGGTCAATAATGCAACTGGCTCAGATGCCATTGGAAGAAGGCAGATGGAAGAGTGAGCACAAGTGTTCACCTCTGCTCCTAGTCTATCACTTACTGAAGTGATAGAAATGGAATTTTCAAAAGACATAAACTCATAAAGACAAGGAGAGGAGGCAATGGCAAAACACTGTGGAAGTTGGAAAGCATAGAAGCAAAACCAAAAAGTTAAATTTTAAATGAAGACGAGAATGTTAAAAGCAACCAGATGCATACTACAGAACACCACAAAAGGCTCAGAAAGGGGCATCATCTATTATCAATTATCTTCTATTCCCTAGAAGTGGAGTAAAGTGGGACTGCAGATGGATCAGTACCAAGTCCATATACAAAGTGGTTGGATCCTAAGATCATCTCTCTGACTTAGTGAATGTCCCACCTTATCAGAAGACTAGAGATTTATCCTCCAGTGAGGAAAACAGAGAGTCTCTGATCTGCTAACAGAGAGTTAGCACTGTTAAGAGTAGGAATGTGATACTAAGATAAGGGAGAAAATGTGAAAGCCTGTAGGTAGAATCTGGAGACATCCCTACTACCACTTCTCCACCAGTCCTCTTTCCTTAACAAGTTCTCAGAATGGTCTACTAGGAAGGCTTATCCTTCAAGAAAGAAGAATCAAAGATTCTAATCGGAAACTGGACCAATTCTGGGGAAAAAGCCCAAATCTGTAACATGGGTCATTCCCCATTATAACGCTACTCAACGAAGCCCACAAAAAAGTCCCATTATAATGCCATGCAATTACCAGTCCATGCAAACTCAGCTTCTGTTCTCTTAAATATGAACAGAGAGTCATGAATCAGCAGAAAACTAAGAAAAATTTCTATTTGAAAGACAGAAACCAAAACAAACAGATAAGAGCAATCTGGGAAAAAGAAGAAAATAATATACAAACATGTCATTAATATCCTCAGAGAACTGAGAACAATATGCTATACAAATGGAACATTTAAAGAAAAGCTTTTGGAAATTAAAACTATGATTGAATGCATTTAAAATTTCAGTAGAGAGAATAGAAGTTTTTTAAAAGTTGAGAGAATTTCTCCAACAGGTGTGCAAAATGGGAGCTTTTTTAAAAATGGGGAGGCAATTGACAAGTAATAAAACTGAAAAAGCTGTGTAGGCATATTTTATAGAGATATGGACATAATCAAACATATAAAATTGGAAGCAGTTGTGTTTTGGAGTTGAACATGGTGGTCACGTGAGCAAAAGACTGCTTTTTTTTTGTTATTATTATACTTTACTTTAAGTTCTGGGATATGTGTACAGAACGTGCAGGTTTGTTACATAGGTATACACGTGCCATGGTGGTTTGCTGCACCCATCAACCCATCATCTACATTAGGTATTTCCCCTAATGCTATCCCTCCCTTAAACCCCCCACCCCACAACAGGCCCTGGTGTGTGATGTTCCCCTCCCTGTGTCCATGTGTTCTCATTGTTCAATTCCCACTTATGAGTGAGAACATGCGGTGTTTGGTTTTCTGTTCCTGTGTTAGTTTGCTGAGAATGATGGTTTCCAGCTTCATCCATGTCCCTGAAAAGGACATAAACTCATCCTTTTTATGGCTGCGTAGTATTTAATATACGCTGTTTATATTTAATATATGCTGTTTTTAGCAACAAATCTTATATAACTCTTTAAAATATTTTCATGTATAACTTTAATGAAAATAAATACTCTTTTTCTAAAGAAACAGCATAGAATTCGTATCTGGCTTTTAAAATCTTAGCTCTGCTACTTACTAGTATTGAGAATATTTCTGAACTTCTTTAATGTCTCCTTGTCTCTATACTGGAGGAAATAATATCTACTTCACAGAGTTGTTATGACTATCAAATATGATAATAAATGTAGAAAGAATTAATCAAAGAAAGAGTCTGGTAAATATTAAGGGCACAATAAATGTTAGCCATTATCTTTATTCCCTAAATTAACTAGAAACAAATTTCATTTTCATTTTCCAGGGGAATTTCTCATTCCATCCTTTCTTTTGATAACAGAGATGTAAGAGGTTTTGAAAAGAAACTATGTGTAGGGTTGTCTGTGGCCTTTATAGAAACCACTGACAAACCAATGGTTTCTATAAAACCCTTGGTACCTATTGCTATACCTATTAACTATCTAATGTATATCAGACACATAGTCTGGAATGGGATGTTCATGAGGATGACGAAGAGAAGCTGACGTGAAGGTTCCTGTTTCATGATAAATAAAGTTATTTTCATGTTGTTAATTATTCTTTTTGTCCCAATAGGTTTTCTAGCCATGAAGAAATAAAGATAGTAGCAATATTTGTGGTAGCCAGAATGGTACTCCAAAGAAGTCCATGGCCAACTCCTGGAATTGGAATATGTAAGTTTACAGATATAATTAAGGTTACTAACCTTAAAATAGAGAGATTTTCCTGTATTATCTGGACGGCCAAATCTAATCACAGGAGTCCTTAAAAGCAGAGAATGCCCTCCAGCTGGAGGCAAGAGGAAGGTGGAATAAGAAGTCACAGAGGTTCGAATCAGGAGAGAGACTCAACCTGCCATGTTTAGAACTCCTTGGAAAGCATGAAAAGAATGCAGGTGGCTTCTAGGAGCAAATACCAGTCCTTGGCTGACAACCAGTAAGGTAACAAAGACCTGAGTTCTACAACTGCAAGAAACTGAATTCAAGAATTAAACTGAATGAGCTTGGAAGCAGATTTCTCCTCAGAGGTGCCAATAAGGAATACTGCTCTGCCAACACCTGGAGTTAGGCTTTGTTAAACTTTAGCAAAAGATCCAGTCATGCCCACTCAGGCATCTGACCAACAGAAATTGTGGTACAATAAATTTGTGTTGTCTTAATCTACTAAATTTGTGGTAAATTGTTACGGCAGCAAAGAACACTAATATAATATTCAAACAGGTCATACTTCTAATAAAGCCTCATCTGATTCAGAATAGATAGTCCAATTCACTGGATTCAACATATCTTTGGAGAATTTTACAACACAAAAACATAATAATATTATAGCAGCTTATATTTTAAAAGAGGACTTTTATGATGTAAATATTCAGTACTTTTATCTTCAAGAAATAAATGAGGCTTGACAGAATCTACATGCTTCTGCATATAAGTAAGTTAGGTTCCAATGGCTAGATAAAAAGCCAGAAAACCCATGATATTTCTCAGTTTCAACTGCCTTTCCAAGGTGATTTGGCCAATCATTTACTTTACAAATAGCTAAAGACACTAATACTTCCCATAAAGTTTAACTTGACAATTCTTTTCCTGTCATTGGTATTAGGCGACTTTTTAGCTTTCATTGAATGGTAGTGAAACATATTATAGAAAATTACTTACTTCATTCCTCAAAGAGAAGGCTTAGTATAAAATGAGTAATAACTTCAGGTGGTGTTAAATTTTAGTGAATTAAGATGTTATCATTTATGACACTTTATATTCTAGCACCTTATAAAAAGTCCATATTCTGGGAAAGATGCCTGGGCTAGAAACTAGAAAATGGAACAAAAGAAAACAAGATATGTTCTAAGCAAGGTCTTGAGGCTGAGTGTAAACTTCAGAGAATGAAAAATAATGAAGGGTAGTAGATTTTAAAAGTGAAAGAAGAAAATGATATGACTCTGAGAAGAAGACTACAACAGCATCATAGTTGTAGAATCTCCTCAAATTCCCCCATAAAAACAGACAGATCATCTAGAAAACCAATAACCCACAATTTCGGCTGCAAAATGAGATGACAAGATGATATCAGCAGGAACTCCAAAGTACTAGTAAGCGAGTTTAAACTACTTAATGATAGGACCTGTGTATTCATAACTGTGCGGGAGTACACAAAGGAAAGGAAAGGGAACTCTTGGTGTATCTGAATTCAGAAAAGCCTCAAGATAATGCATGGATATTCACTAGAAATATCAGCAGGTTATTTTAAGAATAAAGTCTACAGTGGAGAAAGTTTTACAAACTCCTAATCGAGGGTGAACGCACACGAAATCAAATCTCAGACCCTTCACTCTTCTTGATAATTTGGGAGGTAATAATGGGATGTTCACAGGGACGTGGCTTTCTAAAAGAGGAAACACAGGAGTCTCATGGGTCAGTTTCAAGGATATGAGAAGATTCTCTGTGATTCAGTATTAGATAGTCATGCCCGAGTGGCAGCCAGGGTTAAAAATCACTGGTAGAGAAATATAAAACTATGTGGCATGTACAGGAATAAGCTAATGCTCTTTTGCAGCAGAAACAAAGGGTTGGGGAAAAGATGAAGGAGTGCAAGTACTGAGTCATCAGGGAGGTTAGGAGGGCTCAAGGCTCTGTACACCAAGAGTTATCCTGTAGACCAAATCTGGCCTGCCATTTGTTGAATATGACCTGTGAGCTAATAATGGTTTTTACATTTTTAACTTTAAAAAATCAAAAGAACAATTGTAAATGATATGTGTTTATAAATAAGATTTTTTTTGGAACAAGCCATGTCTATTTATGTGTTATGTATGCCTGCTTTGCACTGCTATGGCAAAGTTGAGTATGACAGAGGCTGTATGGCCCACAAAACCATGAGCATATATACAGATAAATCATTGAGAAACTATTCCAATAACCCAAATTACAGATGAAGAGGACACACTTGGAGAAGGGGACAGTAATGAAGAGAAGGAGGGAAATATCTCCTGAGACAAGTATAATATAAAATTGACAAAATCTGATTAGAAAGGGAAGGTAAAAGAGAAAAATGGAAAATATTGATATTTTAGACCTGTTGGTTTGATTGACATTATTTGAAGAAGACAAAAGGAGGAGCAAATTGGGGTAGGAGAGGAAAAATAAAGGCAAAATAAGTTTGGTGTTGCTCATTAAAAATGTGCTATATATGCAAGACAGCTAGGTAATCCTTGTCTCTAAACATTCGTAATACACTCTTGTGTCATTTATTGCATAATGTATTGTGTTATGTTTTGTGTATAACAAACTAATCTTACGACACTGTGATCCCTCAAGAGCACAGCCCACATCTTACTTACTTAATACCCTGACACAATGTGTTATATGTAATAGGTAGCCCATACATATTCTTGAATAGATGAATTCAGTCGTAAACTTCATAAGGGCAGGGATATATTTTAAGTTGCTCCAGAGCCCCTCAGCACCTAAGATAGAGAAAAGAACACTGTAGGCATAAATAAATGGTTTATGACAGATGTCAAGGGACAAACCCTCCAAACCAAAGGGAGAGAATGCATTGGCCATCATGCTACCCAATTTTCTTTAATTAGCCAAGGTTCTGCAGTATGACTTTAGATAGAGAAATTCCCTGGTCAAGAACTCCTCTCCTAGCAGCTGAATGCTATAGAAGCAGAAAATTTACTTTATACCTTTCTGTCCTCAGGGGACACAGAGGGACAATGGTTGCTATTTTAAAAGACAGGTTATTGGGAAAGTTGAAGGTTCAGATAAATGGCAGAGCACTTTGGCGTGAAAAGAATAAACACTAGGGCATTAGGGGAGCGATAAGGAGATGCTATTCCCAGAGGCTGAAGAAACCCATTTGCCAGAGATATTATTCAAAATCATAGTCCATACTGCAATTGTCTGGCAAATAGACTCTCATACCATTAGGTAAAAAGATAGGTGACAGGTAAAATTGAATGAAGGGTACCCTGTTATGTATACTGAATGCCTGAGGGTCATTTCTGAATGTGTAGATTACCATTTCAGGTTAAATCACTCACTAGTCATTGCCACAGAAAGAAGAAAAGAAAATAAGGAAGAGGCCAGGTGGGAAGAGGGGAAGATGCCAGGTGAATGTGTGGCTGCTACTCATCAGTGGCAGTGTTACCTACCTAGGCAAATGACAAAGCGAGGCCAGAGCCACATAGAGTAAGGCCTGCAAGAAGGACAAAGGATAGCAAGTTATGACTCAAAATGACTCTGGTCAAATGTTAAATGCCCCTTAATTTGGACGTTTTCCCCTTATCTCTCTCAGCTCACAGCCACTATTACTTCCTTACAAATTAGGTTGTATTTTCAATGTGCAGTACACAATGGCTACTATGGCCTAAAATATATGTTCCTTCCCTTTCCCCACTTACTTAATTATATACTCATCCAAAAACAACCTTCTCACTAGCCTCTCATTCTACCAAGAATCCGAAATTACATTCACACTTTAGGGTTAAAGGCATTATCTCTAACACCCCTCTTAAAGTGTAGGTTTCTTCTAGAACAGAAGCATTAATACTTTCTTAGGGCTGCCTCAGCATAAGGTGTCACGTGGGGCATCTCATCTCATGAAGCCAACTGGGCGGATCCAGAGAAAAAAATGTCCAGGCTCAGTAAGAAGGTCCTCTGAAAAAGAGGAAAATGATACTGGAGGCCAGACGTCGTGGCTCACACCTGTAATCCCAGCACTTTGGGAGGCTGAGGAGGGAGGATCACCCGAGGTCAGGAGTTTGAGACCAGCCTGGCCAACATGGCAAAACCTCATCTTTACTAAGATTACAAAAGTTAGCTGAGTGTGGTGGCACATGCCTGTAATCCCAGCTACTCGGGAAGCTGAGGCAGGAGAATCGCTTAAACCCAGGAGGCAAAGGTTGCAGCAAGCAGAGATTGCACCACTGCACTCCAGCCTGGGCAACAGAGTGAGACTCTGTCTCAAAAAAAGAAAAGAAAAGAAAACACTGGAAAGCAGGAAACCCCTTGAGCTGACCAAAGCCCACCATTCCCGGGTCATTGACATTTATGCACTGTCCAGAAGGGAGGCTGTCAGCATCTACGCTCTTGTGATGGAGCAGGTAGCCACTCATCTTCAAATCAGTTTGAGCTGTTAAAACTCCTGAACTCATTTTTGTGCTTGTCAATCATCATGCAGAATTCACCCATTATAAACTAAGATGAATTGTCCTTTATATTTCAAGAGTAACTTTCAACTAAAGAGTACAAAGCATGAGCCAAATTCTCACATCTTTCTCCAGAGAGCCATAGCACATGTTCTTTTAATCTGATCATGATTTTTAAAATGATTATGGATTGTTAGAATTTGTGAAATGGATCCTCCTTGGAAATTGTTCATTGAAAAAAAGAAAAGGTTCATAGAGACTTCCTATGGAGGACTCAGACACTGATGAAGTAGAATATTGAGGTTAATCGTATGTTGTGGTCTAAGATGGCATAAATATTGAGAGAAACAAAAGGAAAAAAATCATCTTGACCTCAAGAGGCATGATAAAGACGAAAGAAAAAGGAGACACACTGCTTTTGAGTTACACAAGTCTGGAGCTGAATGCTGAGTCTTCAGATTTCTGTGTCTCCTTGGGAAAAAGTTTAAACCTCTCTGAAGTTTAGTGTCCTCATTTGTAAAAATAAGAATGATACATTATCTGACAGAGTATTGGTAATAAATGTGGTTGTTACATGGTAGGTGCTAGATGAGGCTTCCTTTTACATGTTCTCTCACTACAAACTGGGCAGACAAGGCTTACACAGAATGACAGCAATTTAGTAGAGGCAGCTTGATATAACAGATAGTGCAGAAAGGAGTCAGGGGACTTGGCTTCTAGATGCCGCTCTGCCACTCAAAGAGTACTAACTACTATTTCTATAGCAACTTTCAGTTTATAAACAAACATGTTAACATATATTCCAAGCATACGATCTAACGTGAGTAACACCCTGTCACCAAAGCTCAGTTGTCTCATCTGACAAATGAAAGGAGATGGCTAGATATGGTCTGTAAGGACCCCTTCAACTCTCACATCTTATGATTCTAATTATTAAACTGTGCAAAATAAAGAGTACTTTAAAGGAGTCCGATGAATATAGAAAGGTCCTGGGACTTGGGAACCTGAAAAAGTTTCATAGATCATAAGAGCTTACATTCTTGAGAATATATTTCCAAGTGATGGTGATAGCCTGAGCCAAGACAGGTACGTAACCAGAACTGAGGAAGAAGTGCAAGGATGAGAGAGAACAACCTGAAGGAAGCAAGTAAGAGTATTGCAATAGAACATGAAGAAAGGTCAGGAAGGCTGAGGCCAGCATTTGGATACACTGCAATGCTAAACAGATATGAGATCAGCTATGGCAGCAAACAGGATCTACTGAAGCTCTTGTTTGAGCCTTTCTTCCAATTCTTGTTGCACCCATGGTTACCATCATAGTGGACAACCAAAACTTCTATAAATTGTTCTCATCTTTTATGTTCCCAAATGAATTTCTCCTTTCTCTAGGTCTCAAACCACAACTTATATTCTGCCTAACATAAGTTGAAGGAAGGAAGAGAGTGGACGGATGAAGGAAGAGAGTAGACACATGGACATGATACACGTGGATTAGCCAACTAGTTAAAACAAATATCATGCTTATAATGCTGTGATCCACATGGCTTGGCATCAAAATGGGATTGCAGTTAAAAACAAAAACATAGTCCATGCAACCAAAATAGTATAAAAGTAGTTCAGCTCTAATGTTTGTATTTTTCTTTAACACCTAACATTGCAAAAGATTTTAATCAATAGCAACATTTCTTAAACGTTTTAAATTAAAAACTTCCTCTCCAGTCTGCAAGCTGTACACACTGCACCTGCTCTCACACCTCTCCTCAAAACCACCTGAAGCCACCCTTAAAACTGTAGTTTTATCTCCCTCTGGTCCTCTCTTCCCCTGCCTCCCAAATTCTTCAACCCCTAAGTCCTAAAAAGAATCCAAAAAAGAAGCAGAGCAATCCCAAATAAAACAACACAGAATTTCTGAGAGTAGGAAGGAGGAGGCAGATTTTGTAGACATTTACATATTAACCATTTCCACACAAACTTCCAACATTTACTTTATGTGAAGCCAAATGTATATATGTACAATATTTTGCATCTCATCTAAATTTATATACGAGAGATGGGGTCCTAAGAGCCGAATTCCACAGACTTGACAAGAGTGGCAAAGCAATAGACGCATTCGGTTCAGGAGCATGTCTCCTGAGTTGGCAGGGACAAAACCCCAGCACAGCACCAGAGAAGAAACCATGCTTGCTGCATCTAGACTGGCCCAGACCCAGGAAAATGGCTGAAAGTAGGATTTGAGTAGAAAGGAGGAGAAGAAAGTCATTTAGATAGCTCCGATATTAATATAAAACAAATTCCAGGCCGGGCACAGTGGCTCACGTCTATAATCCTAGCACCTTGGGAGGCCGAGGTGAGTGGATCACCTGAGGTCAGGAGTTTGAGACCAGCCTGTACAACATGGTGAAACCCCATCTCTACTAAAAGATACAGAAATTAGCCGGGCATGGTGGCGGGTGCCTGTAATCTCAGCTACTTGGGAGGCTGAGGTAGGAGAATCACTTGAACCCGGGAGGCAGAGGTTACAGTGAGCTGAGATTGCACCATTGCATTTCAGCCTAGGCAACAGACTGAGACTCTGTCTCAAAAAATATAATTAATAAATAAATTCCTAAGTTTCTCAGTGGAATTTTGAATTTCTGCTTGTCTAATCTCAAGAGCACTAGTCTTTGCAAAACTCAGAAAGCTAACCTTCCACAGTTGCTGGCTGCTGCTCCTGAAATCTGTTTATCAAGGGTCAAAATATCACTTGCTTCTTCAGGTCCTGCTGAAAATGACAGCAATTGTAGTCCCAGGAGCTAAAAACACTGCCTCTGTGTCTTGGGGCAGAATTCCTGCAACTGTTCTAATAGCCTGGGGAGAACAAAGAACAAGGCTTATTTCTCTAGGGCATTAAGTGTATTCCTTCCAATATGGCTTTCCTTTCCTCCCTTCTTAGCTCACATATCCCTTCCAATTAACTGAGGGCAGCTTGAACCCAATTTACATGTTCCCATATTAACAAGTCCTCATCTGCTTTTTCTGATGAGCCTGTGCCCACCTACAAACCTCTCTCAAAGTATGTGATGAAAAATCTAATTCTTGGGAGCTGTGTTCCTGCAAGTCAGAAAGATGCCCTACATATTTTTTAACTGATCAGTCTAAAAACAGCTTCAGCCAATTTAAACCACTTTTTATAAAATATCATTTGCATCAGGTTTGACAGCCCGCCTGCCACATTCCCACCCATTATGAAATGAAACAGCTGAGCTACCAACTCTCAGAAAAACTTTCTGCTGGAAACTGCAACTCAACATTAATGGTCATAGGCCTTGAAGCAGGCCTTAGCTTACATTATGGAGCTCAGCCTGGGAAATTAAATCAATCTAAAGAAGGCAAGGAAAGAACTAATTCTTCTGTGTTACATAAATGGAGAGAGAGCTGCTGATACAGCATTCTGTGGGGCCTCTGATAATGGTACCAAAAGCCACTGTGGCCTTGCCATGGTCTCTGTGGGGGACGGAGTCTCCCTCTCTAAGAAACACAACCGCCAGGACCCAACAAGTGGCTGACCTGCAGAATGAGCTCCCCAGTCCTGGTAAACAGTCATGAACTAGAAAACACGGTTGAAATGTTCCCTGCAATTAAGAAACTGCCTGCCTAAGACTCAGGACTCTGCTTTTATTCCTCCTGCCTGCACTTTGTTTTGCTATACTAAACACCATATCCCAACTCTGAAAGAACATGGCAGTCTCTACAATTTAGACAACTACTTGAAGGCCGGTGAAATATACCCTCTACCTTGTCCCCAAATGAGTGTGGAAGATGCTTTCTTTGAGGAACTGGAACCCATTCTGGGGTGGAAATCCATATTCCTGATTGTACTGGGATAAAGGGTATTGTGTACTTGGGCATATCACTGTCTAATTGTAACGAGGGTGTTTTGTTTATATTCAGGTAGCAGTTTTTCCATACTTCCAGTCAGTGGGCTCTTCTGTGGAGGGGAGAATACTCTTGAGACTCAACTCATCTAGAGGAACTGAGACCTTGGTAAGGAGCAGTCTGACTTCTGAAAAAGGCCAAAGGTCCTGAAAGCTGCTCCAGATGCTGGGTCACCTCAAGTCCTGTATTTTAATGGTTCTTTTTTCTTCTGGGTGTTTTTAATCCGGGTTCTCCCAAAACATCTCACTCACCCACACTCCCTGCTTTTGATAACCCTCATCTTGCTCTGATCTTAACCTCACCCCTCACCCCTACCAAACAGACTAAGATTGGGGTTATTCTCCCACATCCTAAGCATGATTTGGTGGGTTTATAATCTCTCCTCACTGCTATCACCACATTCCAACACTGCCTCACCTGGTGACCGATATAGACCAGCATTAATTAATTCATTCATTTATTCTTCAACAATGTGTATGGAACACTTGCTATGTGCCAGGCACTGTTCCAATAATAAGATTATCATTAGATGATTGCTGTACTTGCTATGTATACAGCCCTGAACAAAACAAATAAAACCATCTCCCTTCATGGAGCTGACATTCTAAAAAGCAGGAGTTAGAAAATGATTTTGGACCTTTTAAGAATGTCACTTAAAATATTTTCCTTCATCTCTTACACCTTCCAGCAGCCATCCCTACTGTCCACTCTTTCCATTTCCCCATGAGAAAAATAAAAATTTTTTTATATGTAAGTATGATACTAGATCTTTTCTAGGCATTTTCAAATATTATTGAAGTGGTTCCTTAAACAACTTTGTAAGATACAATATTTTTAAAACTTTTTATTTTGATATAGATTTAGATTTCCAGAAAAGTTGCAAAAATAGTTCAGAGAATTCACATCGACCCTTCACCCTGCTTCCCCCAATATTAACATCTTATGTAACTAAGAAATATTTATCAAAACTAAGAAATTAATACTGATGCTGGACTGTTAAACTATAGACTTTATTCAGATTTCACAAAATTTTCTAGTTTCCACTAATCCTTTGTCTGTTCTAGGAGTCAATAGAGAATTCCACATTGCATTTTCTTTAATCTTCTCCAATCTGTGGCAATTTCTTAGCTTTTATTTTTCATGCTGGTGACACCTTTGAAAAGAACTAGTTGGGTATTTGCAGAATGCCCCTCAATTTGGATTTGTCTGATGGTTTCTCATGATTAGACTGGGGTTATGGATTTTGGGGAAAAATACCACAAAAGTAATTTATCTTATTCATTGCATTAATGAAGCCTTCTTCTTCAGGGGCTACACAATGTCACTATGACAGTACTGGTGACGTTAACTGTGATCACTTGCTTACGGTGGTGTCTGCTGGATTTCTCCACCTAAAAGTGGTATCTTTTCCTATGTCCTTTGTTAGAAAAAGTCTGAGCCCAGCAAACATTATAGGAAAGGGGGATTAAGGCCCACCTCCTGAAAGGAGGACTGTGAAAGAATCTGTAGACACGTTAAAACCACCAATCTATTTAATGAATATTTGGGGGAGATACTTTGAGGCTATCCAAATATCCTGTGTAACGTTTCAGCATTTACTTGTGGATCTTGTATGCAGCAATCATCTAATGATAATCGTATCTTAGTCTTTCTACATGTACTTGAAGTTAATCTGCTCCTTTCCCTATTTATTTGACCATTTATTTATATCATTTTGAACTCACAGATATCTATTTCATGCATGTTCCTGCCTAATTATGTAGTTGTGAAGTGCAGATAAATAAATTGAGATTCAAAGCATTTTCATGATTCACCCAGGGTCACACAGTCACTCAGCTGCAAAACAGGATCGGTCATTTAAGTTTCCTCACTTTCAGTTCTATGCTGTCTATGGTTCACCTGGCAAACAACTTGCTACACAGCATAAGTTAATAAATACTTGATGAACAAACTAATGAATGAATAACATAGTAAACTTACAAATTTATTTGGCCATTGGAATTGACTCTTGCTAATCTTATTTTAAGAACACAGAGAACTAGGAAATGTGTAATAGAGAGAGATTTGAATACCAACCCCACAAAGAAAGTTTATTCAGCAGCAGAAAAGGTTTCTTCCTGTTCACAAGGTGATTTGGTAGCTTTGGCATTTGCCCAAATGTTCAGAATATATCATCGGTTCCTTGGCCTGATTTCCTTTTAGGAGAGAATGAATATATAATCCCTGGGAAGAGAAACCCAGAAGCCACTTTTCCTGATAATTCACAATGACCCCTATGTGCGACTCTAACAATTCTCCCAGAATCTAAGAACTCCCTCCCCAAGGGCAGAAGTCTTGTCAAATTTGCATAGTAGGTACTCAATGAATGTTGCCCAATGTGGATCTCGCTTTTTGTGGTTCTTTCGTATTAACAGACTATCACAAGGCCAGAGCTCCTTCATTCAGCTGCCACTGATTTCAGGTTTCATTATGTTCTTCAATGGAAACATCAGTAAATAAACTGTGTTATTAAAAGACTTATGTCCTAGAAACAATAGAGTCAGTAGAAATGTCTGGCACCTTGCCCAATTTCTGATGCACAGTAGGTGCAAAGTAAATATTTGAAGAATTAACCCATAAAGAAATGAATGTGTGGGCTAGAGTAGTTAGGAAACACTTCATGCAGGAGATGGAGTTTGGACAGGACCAAGAAGGATGCTGGTGACAAGTGGAAAGGGCTTATCCCAACAATACTGAATGCTATTCCTTTTATAGTTTTAGTCATGTCAGCTAGTAATAAGACTTTTTTCTTTACTTAGACTCCCATATTAACTAAGAAAAAAACCAACACCCTCTAATAAACTTACAATTGTTTCCCAAGTCCTTAATGGCTCTGTCTTGGTATGTTTAATTGGTATATGACAACAAGAGATGAAAGGCAAGCATTCAACCATCTGGTATGGGATCATGTAACAATAATCCCATTTTCCCAACCCACAAGAAGGCAATCCTGTCAATCATACACCACCCAAAGTCAAACAATTCCGAATTCTAGGGCCTGATGACACCCTACTTCTAATGAGTGATTTCTATTTTTTCAGGAATGTATATTATGTAACAGAAACTCAACAGAAAGTGGCTCACACTAAAAGGGCCTTATTGTCCCATTAGACTGGATGGGCTCACAGAAACAAAAGTGTCACTAAGGGAAGAAGGGAAGCTCTGGGACCAATGAGAACTAGCCTAAGAAGTTGATGCTGATATGATCATTTACTTGTACATCCAGCTCTTAAACCTACCTTCTCTGATTTTATTCCCTCCTTCTGTAGACAGTGATGTCTTCTAAGACAGGAGAGCCAAACCTCAGTTCGTAGTTTTCCGTTCATAAATGCAGAGGCAGTTAAGCCAGGCACTATGGATACTATAAGGAAATTGCTGGTCTTGGTCACATGTCTATCCCAATGGCCAGTGAGACTGGGTGCTATGATAGAAAATCCTACTAGGATCACAGAATATAGTGGAGAAAGAACAATTTCCAGAGAAAAGAGGACATCAGAGTAGACCAACCCCTCAACAATAGTCCACAACTCTTTGCTGAGCTAGACAAAGCAGGCATGAACAGATTTGTTTTTGAGGACCTCATATCTAACATCCACAACTTTCACATAATGTATGTTTAGCCTTATAGAACTCCCAGTCTCCTATTTATCTTGACTCCAGAGACTCCCTCTGCAAACTCCTTACTGATGAGATAGGGAAGGAAACACAATGAAACTGAGTATTATAATAACCATTTGGGGGCTAAAAAACAAAGAAAAGAGACAATGGAGAGTGATGACTTTTTCTTGCTAAAACTAACTCCCAGCCAATTTTTTATTTGGCTACATAGTAAGTGGCCAATAGCACTCTAAGCAGTTAAGAGTGTGTGTCTTGGACAGAGGACACATGGGCCAGAATAGAGGTACGTGGCAGTTCAGATATGGCATAGTTATCAATCTGGAGGTGACATAATTTGTGCTTTGGGGATTTTTGACATTTACTTTGCTTTCCACCATCGTCTATCAACAAGTCACACTCTTTTTTGTTCCATCATTTTGATCTATATTCCAAAAAAGTTCTACAAATTCTAGCTAGGTCTACTGTGCCTCTCAAGTTACTAACTTACTATCCATGGTCAGCACATTTTTGAGTTTCCTCTATGACTCACAGCTATTTGCTTACTTACTATCTATAATTAGTCTCATCTCCACCTCATGTAGTTGTTTCTTTTATTCTGAGTGTAACAAAATTGAATTTTCTTAAATAAAAGAGAAAAATTAAATGCATAATGGCTTCTGATATTTCTTCCTTCTGGAACATCCTGGAACCAAATGACTAGGGAAGGAACTGCATATGCATACACAAAAGCAAGGCAAAGTGGTCAGGGAAGGAGAGCACTCTCTCTTCTGTTTCCCACTTCCCAGGAGGTAGGATATCCACTGCCAGAGTATCAATCTGAATGTTGAAATACTCTATGACTCAATGAACTTCGACTCTTAACACTCAGATAAATTATGAGTGCTTTCCTTCCTTGAGTTTAGAAGCAGCTCTGAAGATGCAAACAATCGTTTAGTTATAAAGCTAGGTGCGGATTGCCTAGACAACCTTGGCTACCTCCTTGACTCTCACAACTAAGACCTGGGAAATAATTCTTAAGAGTTCAATTGTCAGAGGGGATTAGGCAGCAGTAGTAGCCCCCAAGGAAAGAAACACCCAAAGATACAGCCATTTCTGCAAAAGGTTGTAAACATGTGGTTCATTGACCACACTACTTTGTTTCTTTGCCTTGTTCAAATGCAGCCTGCCACAGAAAGAAATATCAGGAGTCATGCTGACAAGCAGAGACTGGAAGAATAAAAATTTTAAAATGAAAATAAAAAACAGGCAATTTCCAAAATTCTAACTCTGTGAACTATGCAAATGTATTTAGCCACTGGACCTCCCCTTTTAGAAGTAGTTTCAGGACCTTAAGGGGGTGCTGGGGAAGGCAAGCCTATCCCTCTCCCTACGTTTGAGAAACAAGTAAGTAGACATGGAGAAAACAAGTGGGGGAGGGAGAGGCAGCAAGAGATTTTTTTCTTCTTTGCTATTTGAATAAACAAGCTTTCTTGCCAGAGCCAACTGATGGGTATTTGATGGCGTTCTGACAGCCAAGGAGAATAAAGGCTTAGTGAGCAATGCCATAGGATCTGTGGGGCCAAAAATTCAAATACAAATACAGTCAGAAATACAGCTGTAACAGGGGTTTCTATGGGCACCTCCTCCAGGAGGTGTTAAAGTACTAGCACTATCACAGAAGTTTGGTTCCCACTGTCCTGTTTTGTTTGTGACTCCCATAGCACTACTGTCCAGCTCCTCATCCCTCCTTCCAGATATTCAAGTTCCTGCATCACTTGAGTAGGTGCCTCCGGAGACTTTGCTATCCACAGACCTATACTAAAGCTTCTAAGGGATGTAATTAGTGACGTTAAGAATAAATAAAAGAGTTTAAAAGGCTAAGCAACAATATCACGCAGGCCTGAAGTGTGTGTTTGCAATTGAAGCATTCATAAAAGTAACTTTATTTGCTGAGCACTTACTATAAGCAGGAACTATTTGATGCATTGAGTAAACAAGAGTAAACAAACTGTTAAAAAATTTTGTCCCTGTGAAATTTGCATGTTAGAGGAGAAAGGCAGCCAATAAGCAAATGACAAAGTCAAGTGATGATAAATTCTATGGAGAAAAATATGAAAGAGATGTAGGAGACAGAGTGAGTGCCGAACCTTCTTATTGCTGCATATCCCTCTTACAGTCCATGCATTCTTTCTACAAATTTATCTTAAAATAAATAGAATATTCTATAATTTTTATATTTTTGAAGGGAAGGAAAAACTCTTAATTTATATTTAAGTATAAGAAGTGTGGATGTTAAATTTTTTTAATTAAAAATAGAAGGAGAGTATATCTCTTCCAAATATGTATGAGGAAGAGTAGATAATGGAATACGGGGAAATAAATTGATTCAAAGAAAAAAAAGGAGGAAAATCTGAGACACAGAGAGGGACACAAATAGAAAGCTTAAAAATGAGGTGGTAAAAATAAATCAAAATATTTTAGAAATTGCAGTAGATGAAAATAGACTGAACTCCGGGTAAATGGCATGAACTGTCAGATTTGATTATAAAAATTCAAGGAATATACACGCTTTAGATGAAACAAGCCTCACAATAAAGAAGCAGAAATGTTTAAATAAAGAGACGAAATAAACATAGTAGGCAAATTAACCTAGATATCTATCTGGTATATCTATATCATACCAGTCAAAATAGGCTTTCCCACAAATACATGTAAAACCAGAGTTAAAGTTTACACCATAATGAAAAAAAAAGGTTCAGTTTTCCTGAGAGATGTAATAATTCTAAACTTGCATTACCCTAAGATATCTCAAAATATGTAGCACAAAAACTAAAGGAACTATAAGGAAAAACTGGCAAATTCTTCCATTTGTGGGAGATACTAACATCCTCATTGATGTATAAATCAAACAGACCAAAAATTAGTAAGCATAGCGAAGATTTAAATATTAGAAAGCTTAATTAATGAATATGAAGAATGAAGAATATGAATATGAAGAATGTTGTAACTAACACTTTGTTTTCAGGCACACATGGAATCTTTACAAATGTTAACAGAGACCACTACCTCATGGACCTTATATTCTGCTGGAAGAAGACAGATAATAAATAAGTAAAGCATATAGTATATTAGATTATGATAAATAATAACGAGAATAAATAAAACTATAAATGAGGAAAGGGAGTAGAGTGGGAAAGAGTATCAATTTTAGATAGGTAGGGCATGGAGAAAGACAGATTTCAGCAAAGACCCGGAAGAGGTCACGGAGGGAGCCATGTGGTACCTGGAGGGATAGCATTCCAGGCAGACAAAAGAGGAAATAAGAAGGGCCTGGGATTGATGGATGCCTAGATTGTTTCACCAAGGTGGGTGATGTAGCTAAAGCAGAATGATCCTGAAGGAGCATAGCGGGCAATAAGGTCTGAGAGATATGGGATGCCAGATCAGGTGGACCCCAAAGATATTATAAGAAATGTTCATTTTTTACTATGAGTGAGAAAGGATTACATTGGAAGAGAATTTGGCCTGATTTGTATTTTCAAAATACCACTCTGACATTTATGCTGCCAATGGACTGAAGAGGCAAAACAAATGCCAGGAGACAAGTTAGGGAGCTATTACAAAACTAAGTGAGAAATCACAGCAGCTTGGAACTTGGTGGTAGCAGTCAAAGTGATGAGAAATGGCTGGGTTCTGGATTTACTGTGAAGTAGAGTCCGTGGGATTTGCTGACGGACTGGATGCACACTATTAAAGTCAAGCAAGATGCCAAGGTTTTTTGGTCCAAACAGCCAGAAAGATGGATTGCTATTTCCTAAAAGGAGAGGCTGTGGGAGGAAGAGAAGCTCCATTTTGGACAGGTCAACTTTTGGATGTCAATTAGACATGCAGGAGAGACATCATGTAGGCAGTCCGATAAACAAATCTGGAGTTCAGGGGAGGGGCACAGTTAGAAATTATATATTTGACAGTCATCAGTAAATGTGCAACTCGGTGACATCATCCAGAGTGTGAGTGTAGACAGAAAAGAAGAGATTCAAGGATTGATTTTGGGGCCAACTCACTAGTAGGGGTAGGAAGCTAAGGAAGAAGTAGTAATGCTGACTAAGGAGTAACCAGACATGTCCCACCCCCAGAGAGCCCAGCAAGCTAAGATCCACTGGCTTGAAATTCTTGCTGCCAGCACAGCAGCAGTCTAAGATGGACCTGGGACGCTCAAGCTTGGTGGAGGAAAGCACGTCCGCCATTGCTAAGGCTTGAGTAGACGGTTTCACCCTCACAGTGTAAACAAAGCTGCCAGGAAGTTCGAACTGGGCGGATCCCGCCCCAACTCAGCAACACCCCTGTGGCCAGACTGCCTCTCTGGGCAGGGCATCTCTGAAAAAAAGGCAGCAGCCCCAGTCAGGGACTTATACATGAAACTCCCACATCCCTGGGACAGAGCACCTGGGGGAAGGGGCGGTTGTGGGCACAGCTTCAGCAGACTTAAATGTCCCTACCTGGCAGCTCTGAAGACAGCAGCGGATCTACAAGCACAGCATTGGAGCTCTAATAAGGGACAGACTGCCACCTCAAGTGGATCCCTGACCCTTGTGTATCCTGACTAGGAGATACCTCCCAGTAGGGGCTGACAGACACCTCATACAGGAGAGCTCTGGCTGGCATCTGGTGGGTGCCACTCTGGAACGAAGCTTCCAGAGGTAGGAACAAGCAGCAGTCTTTGTTATTCTGCAGCCTCCACTGGTGATACCCAGGCAAACAGGGTCTGGAGTGGACTTCCAGCAAACTCCAGCAGACCTGCAGCAGAGGGTCCTGACTTTTAAAAGGAAAACTAACAAACAAAAAGGAATAGTATCAACATCAACAAAAAAGGACATCCACTCAGAGACCCCATCTGAAGGGCACCGACTTCAAAGACCAAAGGTAGATAAATCCATGAAGATGGGGATAAACCAGCGCAAAAAGGATGAAAATTCCAAAAACCAGAACGGCTCTTCTCCTCCAAAGGATCACAACTCCTTGCCAGCAAGGGAACAAAACTGGATGGAGAATGAGTTCGACGAATTGGCAAAAGTAAGCTTCAGAAGGTGGGTAATAACAAATTCCTCCGAGTTAAGGAGCATGTTCTAACCCAATGCAAGGAAGCTAAGAACCTTGAAAAAGTTTAGAAAAATCGCTAACTAGAATGACCAGTTCAGAGAAGAACATAAATGACCTGATAGAGCTAAAAAACGCAGCATGAGAACTTCGTGAAGCATACACAAGTATCATTAGCCGAATTGATAGTGGAAGAAAGAATATCAGACATTGAAGATCAACTCAATGAAATAAAGTGAGAAGACAAGATTCGAAAAAAAAGAGTGAAAAGAACAAAGCCTCCAAGAAATATGGGACTATGTGAAAAGACCAAATCTACTTTTGACTGGTGTACCTGAAAGTGATGGGGAGAATGGAACCAAGTTGGAAAACACTCTGCAGGATATCATCCAGGAGAACTATCCCAACCTAGCAAGGCAGGCCAACATTCAAATTCAGGAAATACAGAGAACACCATAAAGATACTCCTCAAGAAGAGCAACCTCAAGACATATAATTGTCAGATTCACCAAGGGTGAAATGGAGAAAAAAATGTTAAGGGCAGCCAGAGAGAAAGGTCAGGTTACCCACAAAGGGAAGCCCATCAGACTAACAGCAGATCCCTCAGCAGAAACCCTACAAGACAGAAGAGAGTGGAGGCCCATATTGAACATTCTTAAACAAAAGAATTTTCAACCCAGAATTTCATATCCAGCCAAACTAAGCTTCATAAGTGAAGGAGAAATAAAATCCTTTACAGATAAGGAAATGCTAAGAGATTTTGTCACCACCAAGCCTGTCCTACGAGAGTTCCTGAAGGAAGCACTAAACATGGAAAGGAACAACCACTACCAGCTACTGCAAAAGCATACCAAATTGTAAAGACCATCAACACTATGAAGAAACTGCATCAACTAACGGACAAAATAACCAGCTAGCATCACAATGGCAGGATCAAATTCACACATAACAATATTAACCTTAAATGTAAATGGGCTAAATGCCTCAATTAAAAGACACAGGCTGACAAATTGGATAAAGAGTCACGAACCATTGGTGTGATCTATTCAGGAGACCCATCTCACTTGCAAAGACACACAGAGGCTCAAAATAAAGGGATGGAGGAAGATCTACCAAGCAAATGGAAAGCAAAAAAAAAAGCAGGGGTTGCAATACTGGTCTCTGATAAAACAGACTTTAAACCAACAAAGATCAAAAGAGACAAAGAAGGGCATAACATAACTGTAAAGGGATCAATGCAACAAGAAGAGCTAACTATCCTAAATATATATGCACTCAATACGGGAGCACTCAGATTCATAAAGCAAGTTCTTAGAGGCCTACAAAGAGACTTAGACTCCCACACAATAATAGTGGGAGACTTTAACACCCCAGTGTCAATAATAGATCAACGAGACACAAAATTACCAAGGATATCCAAGACTTGAACTCAGCTATAGACCAAGCAGACCTAATAAACATCTATAGAACTCTCCACCCCAAATCAACAGAATATGCATTCTTCTCAGCATCACATCACACTTTTTCTAAAATTGACCACATAATTGGAAGTAAAACACTCCTCAGAAAATGTAAAAGAACAGAAATCATAACAGTCTCTCAGACCACAGTGCAATCAAATTAGAACTCAGGATTAAGAAACTCACTCAAAACCGAACATCTACATGGAAACTGAACAACCTGCTCCTGAATGACTACTGGGTAAATAACAAGATGAAGGCAGAAATAAAGATGTTCTTTGAAACCAGTGAGAACAAAGACACAATGTACCAGAATCTCTGGGACACATTTAAAGCAGTGTGTAGAGGGAAATTTATAGCACTAAATGCCCACAAGAGAGAGCAGGAAAGATCTAAAATTGACACGCTAACATCACAATTAAAAGAACTAGAGAATCAAGAGCAAACAAATTCAAAAGCTAGCAGAAGGCAAGAAATAACCAAGATCAGAGCATAACTGAAGGAGATAGAGACACAAAAAACCCTCCAAAGAAATCAATGAATGCAGGAGCTGCTTTTTGGAAAGATCAACAAAATAGACCACTAGCCAGACTAATAAAGAAGAAAAGAGAGAAGAATCAAATAGATGCAATAAGAAATGATAAAGGGGATATCAACACCAATCCCACAGACATACAAAGCACCATCAGAGAATACTATAAACACTTCTATGGAAATAAACTAGAAAATCTAGAAAAAATTGATAAATTCATGGACATATACACCCTCCCAAGACTAAACCAGGAAGAAGTCGAATCCCTGAATAGAACAATAACAAGTTCTGAAATTGAGGCAGCAATTAATAGCCTACCAACCAACAAAAGCTCAGGACCAGACGATTCACAGCCAAGTTCTACCAGAGGTAGAAAGAGGAGCTGGTACCATTCTTTCTGAAACTATTCCAAACAATAGAGAAAGAGGGAATCCTCCCTAACTCATTTTGTGAGGCCAGCATCATCCTGATACCAAAACCTGGCAGAGACACAACAACAATAAAAAATATTTCAGGCCAATATCCCTGATGAACATCGATGCTAAAAACCTCAATAAAATACTGGCAAATCAAATCCAGCAGCACATCAAAAAGCTTTTCCACCATGATCAAGTCGGCTTTATCCCTGGGATGCAGGGCTGGTTCAACATATGCAAATTAATAAGCGTAATCCATCACATAAACAGAACCAATGAAAAAACCAGATGATTATCTCAATAGATGCAGAAAAGGCCTTCGACAATACTCCATAGCCCTTCATGCTAAAAACTCTCAATAAATGAGGCATTGATGGAACATATCTCAAAATAATAAGAGCTATTATGACAAACCCACAGCCAATATCATACTGAATGGGCAAAAACTGGAAGCATTCCCTTTGAAAACTGGCACAAGACAAGGATGCCCTCTCTCACCACTCCTATTCAATGTAGTATTGGAAGTTCTGTCCAGGGCAATCAGGCAAGTGAAAGAAACACAGGGTATTCAATTAGGAAAAGAGGAAGTCAAATGGTCTCTGTTTGCAAATGACGTACTTGTATATTTAGAAAACCCTTTTGTCTCATCCCCAAATCACCTTAAGCTGATAAGCAACTTCAGCAAAGACTCAGGATATAAAATCAATGTGCAAAAATCACAAGCATTCCTATACACCAATAATAGACAAACAAAGAGCCAAATCATGAGTGAACTCCCATTCACAATTGCTTCAAAGAGAATAAAATATTTAGGAATCCAACTTACAAGGGATGTGAAGGACCTCTTCAAGGAGAACTACAAACCACTGCTCAACGAAATAAGAGAGGACACAAACAAATGGAAAAACATTCCATGCTCATGGATAGGAAGAATCAATATCATCAAAATAGCCATACTGTCCAAAGTAATTTATAGATTCAATGCTATCCCAGTCTAGCTACCATTGACTTTCTTCACAGAATTGGAAAAAACTACTTTAAACTTCATATGGAACCAAAAAAGAGCCCACATAGCCAAGACAGTCCTAAGCAAAAACAACAAAGCTGGAAGCATCACACTACCTGACTTCAAACTATACTATAAGGCTACAGTCACCAAAACAGCATGGGACTGGTACCAAAACAGAGATATAGACCAATGGAACAGAATAGAGGCCTCAGAAATAACACCACACATCTACAACCATCTGATCTTTCACAAACCTGACAAAAACAAGCAATGGGGAAAGGATTCCATATTTAATAAATGGTGCTAGGAAAACTGGCTAGCCATATCCGGAAAGCTGAAACGGGATCCCTTCCTTACACCTTACACAAAAATTAACTCAAGATGGATTAAAGACTTAAATGTAAGACCTAAAACCATAAAAACCCTAGAAGAAAACCTTGGCAATACCATTCAGGACATATGCATGGGCAAAGACTTCATGACTAAAACACCAAAAGCAATGGCAACAAAAGCCAAAATAGACAAATGGGATCTGAATAAACTAAAGAACTTCTGCACAGCAAAAGAAACTATCATCAGAGTGAACAGGAAACCTACAGATTGGGAGAAAATTTTTGCAATCTATCCATCTGACAAATGGCCAATATCTAGAATCTACAAAGAACTTAAACAAATTTACAAGAAAAAACCCCATCAAAAAGTGGGCAAAGGACATGAACGGACACTCCTCAAAAGAAGCCAGTAAACATACGAAAAAAGCTCATCATCCCTGCTCATTAGAGAGATGCAAATCAAAACTACAGTGAGATACCACCTCACACAAGTCAGAATGGCAATCATTTAAAAAGTCAGGAAACAACAGATGCTGCAGAAGATGTGGAGAAATAAGAATGCTTTTACACTGTGGGTGGGAGTGTATATTAGTTCAACCATTGTGGACGACAGTGTGGCAATTCCTCAAGGATCTAGAACTAGAAATACCATTTGACCCAGCAATCCCATTACTGGGTATATACCCAAAGGATTATAAATCATTCTACTATAAAGACACATGCACACGCATGTTTACTGCAGCACTATTCACAATAGCAAAGACTTGGAACCAACCCAAATGCCCATCCATGAGAGACCTGATAAAAAAAATGTGGCACATATATACCATCAAATACTATGCAGCCATAAAAAAGGATGAGTTCAGGTCCTTTACAGGGACATGGATGAAGCTGGAAACCATCATTCTCAGCACACTAACACAAGAACAGAAAACTAAACACCAAGTGTTCACACTCATAAGTGGGAGTTCAACAATGAGAACACATGCACCCATGGAGGGGAACATCACACACCATGGCTTGTCAGGGGTGGGGGCCTAGGGGAGGGATAGCATTAGGATAAATACCTAATGTAGATGATGGGTTGATGGGTGCAGCAAACCCCCATGGCATGTGTATACCTATGTAACAAACCTACACATTCTTCACATGTACCTCAGAACTTAAACTATAATTAAAAAAATGACAAAAAAAGAACTTCTGCTCATCAAAATATTCCAGGAAGAAAATGAAAATATGAGCCATAAACTATGAGGAATATTAGAACAAATATTCCATTTTAAAATACCTGCAAAAACTCAACAAGTAAAAGGCCAAAACCCCACATAAAAATGGTCAAAATATATTAACAACCATTTTCCAGAAGAAGAAAAACAAATGACTAAGGAATATGTGGGAAAAAAATTTACCTGAAATGTTAATCAGAGAACTTCAAAATAAGACAAATGAAATTCAATCTGCAATCACCAATATGACAAAAATTTAAGAATCAGATAATACCAAGTATGAAAGGAATGTGGAGCAATGAGGATTATACACTAGTAATGAGAATTCAAATTAGTACAACCATTTGGAAATAAAATTAACCTCATCTTGTAAGACTGATTTACATTACCCTCAGATTCAGAAGTTCCACTCCTAAGAATATATTATCCATACCCTAAAGCAGCACTGTCCAATAAAAATTTAATACAAGCCACAAAAGAAACTTAAAAATTTCCATAGGCACATTCAAAATAGTAAAAAATGTGAAATTACTCTCAATAATAAATTTAATGTAGTTAATTTTACGCAATACAACCAAAGTATCATTTCAACATGCAATCAATATATGAAAAATATTAATTAGATATTTTACATTTTTTGTACTAAGTCTTTAACGGCTGATGTGTATTTTATATGTAGAGTACATACCAATCCTAACTTGCCACATTTCAAATGCTCAATAGCCACGTATCCAGTGGTTATCCTATTGGACAGCATAACTTAAGGAATCACAGGAAACATGTACAGCAGGTTTATATTTTTGGTGATTCATAACAAAAAAATCCTGTAAACACTCTACATCTACATTGACAGGAGGATAGTTAATCATAGATTACCCATATAATGGAATACTATGCAGCAATAAAATAAAAGAACAGCAGCCGCAGACACTCTTATTTGAATCTTAGAAAGAAATGTTTTCTGAGAAAAGCAAATTTCACGGGAATATATACAGTGTAACATCATTTTCATAAAGCCAAAAAAAGAACAAAACTAAACAATATGTTGTTTATGGATACATACGTATGTGGTAATTCTATGAAGAAAAGCAAGGGAATAAAAACAAACAGTCAAAGATAGTGGTTACCTCTGAGTAAGGCAGGGAAATGAAATCAAGAAAAATTACAGACGTTTCAAGGATTTAAGTAACTATCCTGAAAGGTATTTTCCTAGGTAATATGTTTATTCTTCTGATTTATAGCTCACATGTTGCTTATTTTATCTGTATTAAATGCTTCATAATAAAAGGAGAAAAAAACTGAAGAAGTTGTTCTGGAAAACATCAGATCACTTTGCCTGTGGCACTTCCTTTTTCCCCTTCACACATTTTCAACATTTTTCTATAGCTGTGGAGAAAACACAAAATGGCCAGCCATACTGTGTAAAAGTCACAGTTTAAAAGCATACATTTATCCTGTGTCAAGAACTGGACTAAACACTTTATATCCACTATCTTATTTAATCATCACAAAAGCACCTGGGTATGCCGGGGTCTGACCTGAAGACGCAGGCTGCACGATGGATGAGTAACATACTCAGGCACCGATATTCAGTGAAAGAGCAGGCCAGGGGTGCCGGGCCACTCACAGAAAGAGTTGTGGCAGCCACACATATTGACTAGCTGGCTTCGTGGGCATTTATTCAGCACATATTTAATGACAAAGGCTTTTAATCAACACACCTGTGGGTAATTAACCTGGTTGCCGTCCCCCCAGAGAGAGCAGTCCTACAAATGATCAAAGGCCAGTCTTAGGACCACATGAGTAAACAAGCTCTTTAGATAAACTCCCTTACATTCCTTTGTACCTACTCTAAGCTATTAGCTCAAGGTAAGAAGAGTAGGCTGCCTTCAGTCATAACCCTATCTTAAGGCTTTTGCAAAACCTTCTGGCCTTCCAAGAAGGTTTGTGTCTATTTTATAATTTCACCTACCACCCTGACTGAACTCCTACATGGTTAGGTGCTTGTATGGTCCCCATTTCACACATGAGAAAATCAGCTTAGGAAGATGAAATGATTCCCACATGAAATCAATTGCCCAAAGTCACCTGGTCAACTAAGTGGCCAAGACAGAATTTGAACTCAAATCTGATGACTATTAGCTCCTGAACGTCTAACACTCAAGGTATAAGGTTTCTTTTCAAGTTGCTACTGTCTCTTGGTCTTAGTATTTACCTACAAATGCATTTAGCATATGCTGTGTCCCGTTGCAAACACAAAAGGATCATGCCAGGTTTTTTTTTTTTCTTTTTTAATATCAGAAGGCTGCAATTGGTGAAGCCAGGAGCTAAAATATCATTAATCTGGACTATGGATAATAAATAAAGCAATTTTGTTTTAAGAGAAAGAGTCTCACTGTGTTGCCCAAACTGGACTTGAAGGCCTAGGCTCAAGGGATCCTCCCACTTCAGCATCCCAGGTCGCTGGGACTATAGGTACATACCACTACACCCAGCTTGATCAAGAAAATTATTTAGGCCAGATGTGGTAGCTCACTCCTGTAATCCCAACACTTTGGGAGACCAAGGCAGGAGGATCGCTTGACCCCAGGAGTTCAAGACCAACCTGGACAACCATAGTGAGATCTCCTCTCTACAAAATTTTCTTTAAAAAATTAGCCAGGCATTGTGGTTCATGCCTGTAGTCCCAACTACTGAGGATGCTGAGGTAGATGGATTGCTTGAGGCTGGGAGGTCGAGGCTGCAGTGAGCCATGATCATTCCACTGCACTCTAGCCTGGGTGACAGAGCAAGACCTTGCCTCAAAAAAACACAAAAATTTAAAAAAAGAAAATTATTTTTACCACTAAATACTTTCTCTATGCTAGGTGATGCTGGGTAGGCATCGTGTCTCTAACCTTCACCATGCTGCTGGATAATTATTATCATCTTTTGCAGATGAGAAAACTGGGGCTCAGAAAGACTCCGCTATTGGCCAAAGTCCCTACTTCAGTTGATGGCAGTGGTGGAATGCAAACCTAAGCTGTAGGTGCTTCCTGAATCTTAAGAAATGCTAAAGGGATGCAGGTAGGTGGTCAATACCTTCTGTCAGCAGAATTAGCAGCTGGGCTGATACTATACAAGAGAGATATCCTGTCTTTCCATGTATGGTCAGGAAGGTATTTAAAATGAAGATGATGACATTTACATGGAAACCTGACTACAAGTATAAACCACACCCTTGGCCTGGACATGCCAGAAGCAAGACAAGGATGAATCCTCTACATTCTTGGTGGTACAGGGGGAGGGGGAGTGTTGAAGTAAAAAAGAGAATCAAACCAACAAAAAGATGGCAGGAAGGAAAGTGAGTAATAATTCTAAAGATGTTGTTCAGTTAATGAAAATGAAGGCAGAAGCAAATTATTGGGTGGTTTGGGCAGTTTTACTTTCTTAAAAGTAAGCTTTTTAAAGCTTGATGCTATATACGGTGAATAATTCATGCCTTTTGGGAACACAGAAAGGCTCTGAGATGCTCTAGGAAAAAGAAGAAGAGGAAAAAAATCTGTCCGTAGAGTTTTGCGGTTTGGGAAGAGAGGAGGGGTGTGTACTACCTGTTAATGCAACTCTAACCAGATGCCCACATCAGCAAATCTCACCACTGACCACATGTTAAGGAATCAGGCTGGATTTCGGTGGGAGTTCAACCAGGTTTGCAAGTGGTTTTGAAAAAAAAATAATAATAATCACAGTGAACATTCTATGTGGTCTGCAAGGCTGAAACAGGCTACCCTTTTTCTTCTCTTTCCATCATCCATATAGGATTCTGTCTCCTTTCCATCAAGATCAGCTTTGCCCTTTCATATTCACCCAACCTCAGTCCCCATTCTCTCCCCAGATTCACTAGGCAGTAGCTCTGAGATGTCCTAACCAAATGTGAGAAACTTGTGATAGCAGCAACTGCAGGAGGAGGCTAGGTTTGAAGGAACCCCACGGGGCAATCTGATCAGGACCTCTGTTAGTTCTGTGAAATATATCTTCGAGATACGTTTCAACAAACCCTAGGCATTAAAGGAGGAAAACAACAGGAGAAAGTAATTTACACCATGAATTCCTCCCACCAGCCATCTTATTCCCATAGGAAGCCTCTGCCTTCCCCTTTTGGGCTCTGGGGAAACGCAGAGGGAATGGCAGCCACAACGGTCCCAGGAAACACAATGGATGAGGCTAGGATGTCCCTTGAATGTCCACGACAGACATAATATGAGGAAAACCAAGAGCCAAGACCTGAAAATCCATACAAAGGGATAGATGCAAGGGGTGACTGTGAGAGTACACAGCAGGGAGCTGTGCTAAGGAGGTCAACACAGTTCAGGAGGCATCGGTCTAGGAGACGAGGACTGCAACAACTGCTTTCCTCTCCAGAGGTGACTAATGCTATAGTGCTGTTAGAAGGGGTGGGACCTCCAGGCAATGAGGTGTCCACAGACAGACATCCTCAGTTGCTTCCAGAGATAATGGTAGTTCCTGCAGCTGCTGCAGTCCAATGACCCTTAAAAAACGTTTCCTGTTGAAAGCAATGACTCCTAGCAGCTGCTCCTCCTGCATCTCTTACCTCCTTATCTGGCTGTGCCAACTCTTGGGTCTCTCAGACCAAAGTTTAAAAAATGTTGATGATGATAATGACTCACTTTTATTAAGCACCTACTATATGCCAGAGATCTTTATACTAGGGAGCTATTATTTTATTTATTCCAATGATGTAAGTCATTGTAATTATAATTATGATAATGATTATTGCTTTTATTATATCAATCTTAGCAGATCAGGAAAATGAAACACAATTCAATTAAATAACACATTCAAGTTTACACGGTTTTTAAGTGTGAGAGCTTGGGTTTTGAACCCAGGTCTGATGTTAAACTCTGTGCTCTTAACCCCTGTACCAGTGCCTCCCAAATTTGAATGATACACAGATCCCTTTAAAAGAGAAAAACATTCCTGTGGATCTCCAGTACTGACTAAAACTAGCTATAAACTCCTCCTAAAATCATTAAACCAAAACCAAACATATACATTAAAAACATGTAATAACTAAGCTATAAGACCAATAAAATTCAAATTAAAAACATTAATTCACTGTGATAAAGCATGTTGTTCTGCTGAAACTAGATCTTCAGTATTGGTTTTAATAGGAAAAAGATGAGCCTCAGGTCAGGTTCTATACTGAATAATTTTTGTTGGTATTTTGGCTTCAGTAATTCAGATAATGCCTGTTAGCATAAGTATGTTATTAATTATTTCAAAGCTTTGCTTGCTGGTTCACAACAAATAGACCTCATATTTTTCCAAAACATTGCCAACAAACAATCTTCAAGTGCCAATTTTAATTAAGTGTCATTTGATAACTCTGTAATGCTGTCTTGTTTGCTTGAAAAGAAGGTTATGATTCCAGCATTATTGAAATTTTCATTAAATAAATCCTGATTGCCAGAAGCAGGTCTCATTTCATGTGCCTGGCCATGCTTACAAGGAATGAGCGGTGACAGTTTGGCTTGTTCAAAGATGGGATCTGTAGAGGGTGTCTGCACAATTTTGGAGCGCCTGTGCAGAAGCATATTGTGAATTTGACAGGCATGTCTGTCCTTGTGCCCTCTGATGGCTCAGCTCTCCCATCACGTTTCTTCCTGTGATACTTTCATTAATGCATCACTCCCTGACATCATTTGACTTTCATTTAGTGAAAATAACATTTATAAAAACAAATGTAAATGTCCACATGGAAACTGTGCTCCATTCTTGGAATGAGTGATCTTTAAAATGCCTAAATATGCCTGTCAGGCAATGCATTATAACTGAAATGCAACATAATTTTTAAAACATTCTTTTATGAAACATTTGGACTATTGAAAGTTTTTGTCCATGAGCTCCAGTCTGAGAATCACAGACCATGTATGCTCATTTCCTAGCATCCAGTATGCAGGGAGTGGCATAGCTCTTTCAAGGACTCTCCACTGTTGAAAACCTTGGTCCTGGAGTCACCTCTCAAACACATGCCGAGGCTCCATTCTCAGCACCTTTCCCCTGGAACCTAAACATAGGCCCACACTCCTGTTTCTGTGTAACCCACCCACAGATATAGAACCATCTATTTCCCAGCACCCATATTTCCCCAAGAGAGGTTCACCAGTAAGTAAAGTAATGGCTCTGAGTCCTACATTGAATTGTTTTATTTTACCCTGTGAGAAGACAAACTCATCACCCCCTCTGAATAGATAAGGAAACTGTAGCCCAAATATTTTTGTCCAAAATCATGGGGAGAAGTTACGGATCTCCCAATTTATGCTTTTCTCATTAAAACACTCTGCTTCATCTGAGTAAGATATGTAGAAGCAGGGGATTCTCACATTATACGTATGATTAGAAAGGGAATAGGGTACACAAGAACAGGGAAGAATCAAGAGCCATTTTTCTTCTCTATTAAGATGAAATACTGCCACTTCCTATTTTCAAATGACAACAGCAACAATAACATGCTAATGATGCAGAATTTTAGAGGAATTTCTCTAGCCTTTACCATTTGCTCTATTTGCCATTGTTTGAGAAGCAATTATTAAGAGTAAGCTTTTTTTTAATCACAAGATTCTAAAATCCATTTAATTCAATAAACACTTACACAATGGGGTACCAATCAAGACAAACTTTAAATGTTGTAATTGTACTTTAATGACAAAACTGCTATTTGGGAATCTGAAACTATTGACACCAACTTCCTCAGTTCTGGAGAAATCAACAGGATTACATAGAAATCATGTAAATACCAACGATTGTTCTCAGAGAAAGCTGTGATTCCCCCACAAATGTGACTGCAGGTGGTGTAGGCTGAAGTTTGCATTTATTAGTTGGGTAAATTTGATCCATCCATGGTAAGCCAGGATGTACCCTTAAAGATTTTGATAACTGTTCTAAAAAGCAAGTTTAATAATTAATGCTCCTTATATGGCATTATTTAAATAAGAATACTGTAGACTTGGGAAAATATATTGTTGACTATTGCCACTGACTTTTCTAGAGTTCCCTTGAAACAAATGGAAGTTCATATTGAAGAGGAAATAAAACATTCTCAGGCTCACAGATTAGTGTCTGTGGGTTGCAGAAGCAGCCACTGCTGCGACAATGCACATTATACTTGGGGTGGTGCTTCTATTACTTCATCAGCAATCCATAAATGAATCTGGCCTTAGCTGTACTTTTGAAGAGGAGACTGTGCCCACCAGCAGCCAGGAGAAATGAATTATAAGATAATGTGATAATGTGGCATTGGGGGAAAACAATGCTTTAGAGCTGAGTTGGTGGACAGGATAACAAGTGACTACTAAGATTAGTTTGAAGAACCTCTAAGGCTTCCTTGGGGAGCCCCTCTGGAAGAGAAAACTAGGAGAAAGATGGATTTTCAAAAAAAAGTTATTCATGAAACATTTAGTACCCATTTTAGGAAGAAAATAAGGGGGGCTTTCCAGTTACATTTACCATTTATATGATAAATGTGCCAGACACATGCTTGGAATTAGAGACACAAAGGTAAATAAAACACGGCCCCTTCTCTCAAAGCAGTTAAAATCTACTGGGTGGCCATTTGTGGGTGAATGTTGTGAGTGTGTAGGGGAGGTGCTAGGCAGGTTGGGAGGGTTGCATTTTAACAGCAGGATGTCAAAGTATGAGTAGTCATTTCCAGGTTCATAATCTGTCTGTATAAGAGGAAAGTTTTTGGTGCCTCAAATTGCTCCTTCTCTGGAATAAGCTAGTGGTTAACCTAGAGCAACTGGGTTAACAAACAAGGACATAGCAAAAGCCACTCCTCAGTCACCAGCTCTGCGGGAGGAAGAGATTGCTCCATGGAAACTGTAGCTTATCCCACTCTTTACAAACTAAATAGATAGATTTTTAGAAAGGAAAAAGACCAAATTAACATTTGTTAATTTAACATTTGTTAAAAATGTCAGGAGAACGCAAATCATAAAGTGAATTTCTGTGAACTCAATAATTAACTTCATCTAGGATGTTTATCCTCTGGTGTAAGCCTCTGTGGTCTTATTAATATGGTGAAGTTTCTTCTTCAGGGTCACCTGGGTTGAGGGCAGGTGCCTATGAGTCCTACAGCGGAGAGAGCAATGGAGAATCACCCCATGCATGGCCTCATGAACGATGATGATGGCTCACTCAGAGAATCAAAAAACTATTTCTGACTAAAGAGGTCGAGACAAAGCAAGCTTCAGATTTAGGAAAAGACATCTCTTTTCCCACCTCTCTCCATCATCATTCAATTTACTGACAAGCTATTAAAGGTTTTAAATGGCTGGCCACATATACAAGTCAGAATTGAGTTCTTTTGAGGGCAATAGGTCAGAGGAAAAGGAGGCTTCTAAGACCTCGATCAGCCTCTTTGGACTTGTGATTGAGAAAAGTTAACTGGTTGCCGGAGCTAAGGGTGTTGTGTTCCCTTAACTGCAGAGATTCGCTGTATTTACAATGCAATTTTCTCAAGAGTTTCCATGTCCAGAAGGCTAGTGAAGAATAATAAAACAAATACAACAGGAACTACTTCACCTATGGTCACCAATGATATCTACATGGTTGAAAAAGAATGGGCAGTTCTCTATCCTCCTAATTTCCTTACACTATTGACCACTTCCCTCTGTTAAAGTTCTCCCCTCCCTTTGTTCCCACTCTTTTCTGATTCTCCTTCAAATTCTCTGACCTCTCCTTCTCAGCATTTTGCACAAATTTCATGCTTCAGCCCATCATAGGGTAACATTCCCTCTTTCTCTTCTGTCCCTCTTCCTCTCTGTCAGTGATGTTTGCATTTTGTTTTAATTTGGACTGATGTAACAGGCTTCTTCTTGGCCCCCCTGATTTTAATTTTGATTATCTACCATTCAGCCTCTATATAGCTGCCAGAGAAATTTTCCAAAGTAAACTTCATCGATCTCTTACTTACTTCAAACCACTTCAAGATCCCCCATTGTCCATAAAACACAGACTCCCTGGTCAGGCATAAAATAATTTTATGATCTGCCTCCTGTGTAACCTCTCCAAACTTAACTCTCACAACACCTCTCCACATGTGTCTCGTGATCTGGTCACACAGAATTATTTGCAGCTCCACAAGGTTGGATTACTGTATTAATCCATTTTCATGCTGCTGATAAAGACCTACCCAGGACTGGGCAATTTACAAAAGAAAGAGGTTTAATTGGACTTACAGTTCCACATGGCTGGAGAGGCCTCACAATCATGGTGGAAGGCAAGGAGGAAAAAGTCCCATCTTACATGGATGGTGGCAGGCAAAGAGAGAGCTTGTGCAGGGCAAGTCCCGTTCTTTAAAACCATCAGATCTCATGAGACCCATTCACTATCATAAGAACAGCACAGGAAAGACCCACCCCATAATTCAATCATCTCCCACTGGGTACCTCCCACAAGACGTGGGGATTATGGGAGCTGCAAGATGAGATTTTGGGTGGGAACACAGAGCCAAACCATATCATTCTGCCCCTGGCCCCTCCCAAATCTCATGTCTTCACATTTCAAAACCAATCATGCCTCCCCAACTGTCCCATAAACTCATTAACTCAAAAGTCCACAGTCCAAAGTCTCATCCAAGACAATGCAAGTTCTTTCTGCCTAGGAGCCTATAAAATCAAAAGCAAGTTAGTTACTTCCTAGATACAATGGAGGTACAGCCATTGGGTAAATACAGCCATTCCAAATGGGAGAAATTGGCCAAAACAAAGGGGCTACAGGCCCCATGCAAGTCCCAAATCCAGCAGGGCAGTCAAATCTTAAAGCTCCAAAATGATCTCCTTTGACTCCATGGCTCACATTCAGGTCACACTGATGCAAAACGTAGGTTCCCATAGTTTTGGGCAGCTCCACCTTTGTGGCTTTACAGGGTAAAGCCTCCCTCCCAGCTGCCTTCACAGGCTGGCGTTGAGTGTCTGTGGCTTTTCCAGGCGCACAGTGCAAGCTGTCAATGGATCGGTAGATCCATTGGGGTCTTGAGGACAGTGGCCCTCTTCTCACAGCTCCACTAGGTGGTGCCCCAGTAGGTACTCTGTGTGGAGACTCTGACCCCACATTTCCTCTGAAATCTAAGCAGAAGTCCCAAAACCTCAATTCTTGACTTCTGTGGACTCAAAGGCTTAACACGACGTAGAAGCTGCCAAGGCTTGAGGCTTGCACCCTCTAAAGTCACAGCCTGAGCTCTGTGTTGGTCCCTTTCAGTCATGACTGGAGTGACTGAGATGCAGGGCACCAAGTCCCTAGGCTGCACACATCACAGGGACCCTTGGCCAGCCGTTGAAACTACTTTTTCCACTTAAACCTCTGAGGCTATGATGGGAGGGGCTGCCACAAAGGTCTCTGACTCGCCCTGGAGACATTTTCCCCATTGTCTTGGTGATTAATATTCAGCTGCTTGTTACTTATGCAAATGTTTGCAGCCAGTTTAAATTTCTCCTCAGAAAATGGGATTTTCTTTTCTACTGCATTGTCAGGCTACAAATTTTCCAAACATTTATGTTCTGTTTCCCTTTTAAAACTGAATGCCTTTAACAGCACCCAAGTCACCTCTTGAATGCTTTACTGCTTAGAAATTTCTTCCACCAGATACCCGAAATCATCTCTCTCAAGTTCAAATTTCCACACATCTCTAGGAAAGGGGCAAAATGCTGCCAGTGTCTTTGCTAAAGGCCTCACAATCATAGTGGAAGGCAAGGAGGAGCAAGTGACATTTAACATGGATGGCAGCAGGCAGAGAGAGAGCTTGTACAGGGCAACTCCCATTTTTTAAAACTATCAGATCTCATGAGACCCATTTGCTATCACAAGAACAGCATGGGAAAGACTCACCCCCATAATTCAACCATCTCATACCAGGTCCCTTCCACAACACATGGGAATTACGGGAGCTACACGATGAGATTTGGGTGGGGACACAGAGCCAAATCATATCACATAGCATCTCTCTGGAATGCCCTTACCAGCTTTGCCAGGCCTGCCTCACCTAGTCCCAGAAGCCTTCCCTGATCAGGTTCGTGACACCACCCAATATGGGTGAGATGTCATTCCTTTCTGATCTTCCTTAATGCTCACTACTTGTCTTCATTATAACATTCTCTTGTAAGGGTTTGTATAGGATTCAGACAGAAAATTAGATTTACCATAAGTGTTATGGGAATAAAAAATTGATTGTAGGTGTTAGCCCTTATAAAAATATGGGAGGAGCTGAGGAAAAGAAAATTTGGAAGGGAGAGTTGGATGGTAAAAAAAAATTAGTCACTAGCCAGGTGCCCTGAAGCAAAGGCACGGGTCAACCAGCAGGAGCTTGAAATGAAATTGAAAAAGCCACCAAAGTGAAACCACAAAAAAGGAGAGCTTATGAAGTCTACAAAAATTGTTTTTCCTGGGAAGAGTTGCCTGTGCAGAGATGCAGTTTTGGTGTGTCCCCAGCCAAGAACCTGGTGGTAGGCCTGGGGCCACTGAGTGAAGACAAGTTGGAGGGGAAGAGGAGGAGCCCATCGGGCACCTCTGCATCTGTCTATCACCATGGTCGATGGTGACAACCTTCTGAGAGTAATGAATTCTACTTCATTTCTGTAAGCAAATTGCAAGCAAGTTCTTTCAAAAAACCAGTCAGAGAAGGTTATTGTCCCGGGAAATAAAATTTCCAGCTTTGGCCAAGTTCACCTAACAGAATACAGCACACCTTCACTGTCTGTACTCTAGACTGTGAGATAAGAAGACAGGCAGTACGTTCTATCCATTTTAATTTATTCAGCATCAAGCACAGTGCCTAAGACATAGCAGAGACTCAATAGAGATCTGGACAGTGAATGAAGAGCATTAAAAACGCAGATATGGCCTTTGTGTTTTCAATCATTCCCAAAGCATATGGTGGAAATGGTGCTACGCATTCTTGGGACCAAATCTTCACGTGTCAAGCAAGACCAGACTCCAGTGACTAAATGATTGTAAAAGAATTTCACTGTGAAAATAAATGTAATTACATACATCAACACACTTACTTGAAATTTCAAAAAGTAAGACAATGTTAAAATCAAGTTTGCCTTTTTCCTTTAATGTTATCAACATCTTCAGTTTTACTGTGTTTTGTTTTGGCTTTAAGGTAGTCATTCGTTTTTGGTTTTCTGTTTGTTGCTGCTGTTGTTTTTAGGATGCTGACAGTAATGTGTAATGAAGAACCATATTATGTCAACAGATTTATACTGAGGTTAATTGTTCTTATCAGAAAATCAATATGTTTGAAAGTACATCTGTTTTCTGTTTTAAGTCTACTCCATGAATGCCAAAGTTCATACTCATCTGCCTTTACCTCAGAAATAAAAGCAAGTCTCCAGCAAAAAGAAGGGTAAATTCAGAGTTATTAAGAGTCCTCAGCTGGGTGTGGTGGCTCAAACCTGTAATCCTAGCATTTTGGGAGGCCAAGGTGGGAGAATCATTTGAGGCCAGGAGTTCAAGACCAGCCTGGGCAACACGGGAAGACCTTATCTCTACTAAACATTTGAAAACTAGCTGGGTCTGGTGGCACATGCCTGTAGTCCTAGCTACTTGGGAGGCTGAGGCAGGAGGATCACTTAAGCCTGTGAGTTGGAGGCTGCAGTGAGCAGCACTGTACTTCAGCCCACCAGCCTGGGCAATAGAGTGAGACTTCATCTCAAAAAAAAAAAAAAAAATCTTCACATACAGTTTTATGACTTCATTTCACTTCTACTTATCCTGAAGTTCAAAATTGTAAATTATCTTTCTGATAAAAACCAAGGGAACACTTATGGATAATGGAATATTTTGGGAGAAAAGAGTCACTACAGGTTTTATTTGGTCCGTACAAAGACTTTAGTAGACTATTTTTCTCTGTATATCCTCTACCTGTCTTTCTTGTCAGCTAAAATGTGTAATAATATCATCAGAGTAACTTCTTTATTCAATACTGTGCTTCTAGTTTAATAAACTATTTTTAAAGCTTTGAAATAAATTAGTATTTCCAGATTCACAGTTGACTTTTATCATCAAAAATCTATGTTTATAACTTTTAAAATAATTAACTCTTCCCTTCTGTCAGCTGCTCTGGGGTGGTTTCATCCCCACATTCTGAGAATGAAGGGCCTGGAATGATGCCAAAGGGAAACATGAAGCTGCAGAATAAAAATGGCTCATCTTTTCATCTCTGCACATACCTCTTACTAAAAATATTTTGAGAAATTTGATAGTAAAATAAACATGACTCTATTGTAAAAGAGAATGTAAAATTTGCATACATTTATAATATAAAATAAGAGACACCAAAGAAATGTTGACCTTATTGAGGCTCTCTTTGGAAAACTCCACTCTCATTGGGGTGGTTTGATGAAAATTGTTGACGACCCTCTCATCTCAAAGTAAGCATTATTTTCAGCATTAGTAATGAAAAACACCTTGGTTTTAGATAAATGGAATTTGTTTTCATTCCCAGAGAGATTTAGGACTGGAAGTTACTATCTAAACTGACACTGTCTAGTTATTCCAAGAAGCATTTTTATGTCTTTTTTTTTATTACTAGACATAATACAAGACAACGTGTCATTTGATCAATGATGCTGTCATAAACCAACACCCATTTGTCAACCTGAAAAGAACAAATGACAAGAGGGTCAGGGATTGAAAAGAGAAGCCTTGTGTTAGAAGGCCACTGTCACATTGGAAGATGTTCCTGGATCATGTTGGTTTAAAGTCACCTAGACTGTCCTCTCTCCCTCCCTTCCTCCTCCAATCCTCCCATTCTTCCCTCCTCATGCCTCACCTCCTTTCTTTCTTTTGGAGCCCAGCTTGTCAGTATGTGATTTCTTTCAGATTCTTGCCAGAATTTCTATGTGGGTAAACTTCAGTATTTGCGGTTGCAGTCCAATTTGTAAACTTTAAGCAGAAAAGAGGTAAAAGGCCTTCAAGGATTAGAAGTTATTTAAATCCTGTAAGTTAGAACGGTGCAAATTCACTAACTTTGGCAGTAGGCAAGAGGTTTCCACAAAACAATGTCACCCTGACACAGTAAATCAGGGCTGCCTTGGCTTAGTAAGGGGTGGGTGAAGGTTGAGGACTACGCTGCCCAAATTTGTACCCTAACATCAGGCAGCAGATAACCACTACTGCTGTCAATGGAGTTCACTTCCATTTGGCTGCTCGATGCCCTAAAGATGTTCTTGTCTGAATAATGTGGGTCTCATTTCCATGTTAACTATATCCTTTGATCCCATATTGGTAGAATGATTTTAAGTCCTGGATGCCTTGGATAGTCCTGGCAGTAATTACTAACAGAGTCTCCTTTCACTCTCAAAATTGTTCTGGTTTACAAGGTAAGTTAAATCATTTCTTTAGAAACCTCACTCTCAAAACTAGCATTAAAACTGAGCTATTTCCCATTATGTCAGAGCCACAGAAATAAAAATATAGAACTAAGGCAGGTAATTTAGCTACAATGAGGTGGGAATGATTCAGCAGGACCATCTGGCAGAAACGAAAGAGGGACCATAGTCTTCCTGGGTCACCAAGGCAACCGAGGGAGGGACTCTTCTCCCCAGGAAGGGTGGCTGTGTAGTCCTGCAGAAGTCAGTGTCAGCCTGAGAGTCAACCAGCCTCAGCCTCCTTCTTCCCGGTCCCTCAGTCCATCTCCCTGCTGCCCTGGCTTTCTAGGACAGAGCTGTCCCCAAGGAGTGGGTGCTGGCTTGAAAACCATCACACCTGTGTTTGAAGCCTGGGCTTATCACTTACCAGCTGTGTGAACTAGGGCACATTCACTTCATCTCTCTAAGCCTCACCCTTTCCGTCCATAAAATGAGAATAATCAGAGCTGCGTTGTAGGGTTGGTATGAGGATCAGAGATTATGTAAGATATTTAGCCTGATGTCTAGCACAAAATTAGCACAAAATAAGTAGAAGCTGTTTCATAGCCTAAATCTGAATTCTGAAGAATTTAGGTATGTGACTCTCCATATCTTATAAATGGGCTCCTCTTTTTATACACATTGCTCTCAACTCTCCTGTGAGTCAGTAAATTCCTTGAGGACAAAGTCTCCATTTTATACCTCAGCTGTGCCTGCAACCCTTCAATACATTTCTGATCAATTAATCGGTTGCCTCCCAAGCTCAGTGAACACTCCCAGCCAGAGCCCACCAGCTCTCTTTCCCCTTCCCCAGCAGGAGCCAAGATTTCACACCACCAGGGTTGCCTGAGGTACCCACAGGGAAGGGGAGATTATGAGGAAAGGTTAGAGGCCCCGTGTGGAATAAAAATAAATTATTCTTTGAAAGCAGTGAAATTTCGCTGCTTCTCTCTTTTTTTAACCGTGTTCATAAATAATGGAAACACAGTATTATTTTTCTTCATTCCAAAGTATAAAAATAGAAAATAGGCCTTGGATTTTCAGCTTGCAGTGCTGTGTTGCTGACAACTGACACTCCTGCTTTCATAAACAATGACCCTACCCTGAGATGTTGTTATGTGTTGAATATGTGTATATGCTGCATATATATACATATTTAAAATATTTTGTTTAACTAGGAGTTTGATTGAGAGGTTTAAGTGAGTGCAAGAACCAGATCAGCTAGAAAATTGCCAAATCTATTTATCTTCACTGCCAGCTCAGCTTAAAATCAGTGTTTCCTCAAGCACCACAGCATACATAGTTAGCTACTAAGTATGCTGCTACACTTTAATTTGATTATATGCCTGTGAAATAAAGAATGTTATATGATTCAGTCATGTTATCATGGCTAAATGTTTGAGTTTTCCAAGGGAAGGGGCAGTATCCTAGACTGACACACATCAACTCCTAGGGCCAGACTTCTTTTGCAGCTATTGGGTATAGATTTATATTAATACTGGTCTTACCATAAGTATTCCTGAGAACATTTATCTGCCCTGAGATTTTTAGAAAACTCTCCCTGGTCAAATCTGGAACTACTGCTCCCCATTTTCCCACTGGCTCCTTATGTCAAAACATAAGACATATGATTTCCATATTAGTGTACCCCAATTCCCAAACATGCCCCCCTTCAATTTCTGCTTACTCTGAAATCTAGACATGTGGGGATAAAAACAGTCACCTATAGATCATTTGCTACAACTAAAATGTGATGCAAATTTACTCCATTTTATTTTTAAAAGAGACCAAGACTTCTCTCTACAAAAAATTAAACTAATACGAGAATTTCAGAATCCACTTTGTTCATCTAAAAGCAGCACTAAATTCCCCAACAAGCTTACAATTACATTTTTCCCCCACCTGTGATAAGTTTTCACAGTAACATTTTTGTTGTGTAAATTGGCCCATACACTTCACTTGTTATCCAAAGTGGTCAAGGACAAGTCAAAGAAGGCGAATCTTCACTCTGCCGGCAACAGGTCAGCCCTGACCTCCTCAAGTCCTGAGTGGGAGAATGGGTTCAAAAGGGGAAGTGCAGGTGAGTGAAGGTATGTGTTGCCAATGGCAGAATTGTGGCAGACAGCTCAGGCATGGTCAGTGGCGTGGAGGTCCAAATATCCATATAGTCAGAGTTGTCTGTACACCCCTTCACCATGTAAGCAAACTGAAAAATTGCCATGAAAAAGGCCCACTTTTGCAGTGATGAGCAGTCTACTTCTCCCTTTCATGACAACAGCTGTGAGGAGAATATTATCATACATTCACACCAGTCTCTCTTACAGTATTTCCACATGCTTCTCTCATTTTGTCTTCGTGAGAACCCTGTAAGTGTTCACACCCCCATTTTGGAGAAGAAGAAATACACCTCCAGATAATTGCAATGTCCTGAGATTCTACAATAATGACAAAGCTATGACTGGAGCCCAGATCTCCAACTCCAGCATACTGTTCCTTCCTTTGCTGGTTGTTGACCTCCTCCCAACACTCTGAGTACTCTGTCAAGTGCCTCTCCTCAGCCTCCACTGCCAGTATCCAGTGAGCTTACCCTCCACAGGTCCAGCACTCATCACCAGCAGACAGCCAGGTGCAATTGTGTAGGTCGTGCACTGCTCAGCCCAAGAGGGTTCATTAACATTATGGCTTACATGACTGTCCTGTCTCAGTAAGCTAAAGGTGTGCCATGCCCCAACAGGCCAGGTGTGGCTGGTTGTAGAGCTGGTATGCTAGCCTCCTATATAATATCCTGGTACATTTACATAATCCCATCTAATTCTATCTATATGCTCTATCCTTAATTTGTATTATACGGCATAATATAAAAATTTACATTATGTGGTATAATTTATATGGTATAATATATAAATTATATGATAAAGCAATAAAATATGAAAGCTTAATGTGTAAAAGAGCAAGGTTCTAATATTAATAATAATGCGAATTTAAGGATGCTAACTGGAAATATTTAGTATTCAAAGATGATCATGTTGTACTAAAAATTCACAAGCTACATCTTTATGGTCTCACCATATTACAAGGAATTTTTATTCCTGCCATAAATCTCATAGTATACATTTTAAAGCCTATAATATTATAGTATGCCTACACTACATTCACAGAAACAATCAAAAATAAAGGATAATGTGTTAAATAGAAAAGGAATTTGTTTTTTAAAATAAATATAAACCTACCAAATAAGAATTTCTGAATGGCGAATAAATGTCTTTGGTCCCGTCATAACGACAGATTTTTAAAAAGACCAACCTACATTATTTTCCCTCTTGGGACAGCAACATGCTTAGTCAGTAATTGAACAAATTTCTAAAGGCTAAAGATGAGTCTTCAACATCATTGTTGTCAGTCTCTCTATTGGTTGGCCTAACTTGTACTTTGAAAAACAATAATAAAGAAAGCAAGTATTACCAAGCATGGACAAGGATGTCCTCTAAGTGCTTGGGTACCTGTGGTAAATTGTTGGCAGAAGTGGCTGTCTTTATTTCTACCTTTGTTTGCACACCACTTTGCAATGTGACATTGTGTTTCTCTCCTCAAGAGGTGGGGTCAACAGAATCTGGTTGACTCCTTGAATCTGGTCTGGACTTTGTGACTTGGTATGACCAATAGACCACAGCAAAATTATGTATGGTATGGCAGTTCTGAGCCTCTTGGAATGCCATCAGATGAATACCACCAAGGCAGTCTGCTGGGGAATGTGAAGCACAGCTAAGTTATCCCGGGTGAAGTCATCTGGCACCAGCCAGATCCCAGCTGACTCAATAGCTAATCCCAGTCAAGTCTAAAACTGCTCAACTGAACCCAGACCAAACTGCTGGCCCCCAGAATCACAAATAAAATGAATACTGGTTGTTTTCAGACATGATGATTTGGTGTTGTTTGTTAAGTATAAAAATCTAACTGTTTCAATACATAAGAAAGAAAACAACATCATCTTACATTCTTTTTTTCTTCGAGATGGAGTCTTGCTCTGTCCCCCAGGCTGGAGTGCAGTGGCGCAATCTCGGCTCACTGCAAGCTCCGCCTCCCAGGTTCACGCCATTCTCCTGCCTCAGCCTCCTGAGTAGCTGGGACTACAGGCGTCCGCCACCATACCCAGCTAATTTTTTTGTATTTTTAGTAGAGACGGGGTTTCACCATGTTAGCCAGGATGGTCTCGATCTCCTGACCTTGTGATCCGCCCACCTCAGCCTCCCAAAGTGCTGGGATTACAGGCGTGACATCATCTTATATTCTTTAGATTAAGTTTCCTTTTGACAGAAAAGTCATCAGTACAAATGTTCCTACCTCAACTCATTCTACACTCCTACTTGTAAGATTTTATTTTTTATATAGCAACTTTCACCACTGTTAGGATGGCTTTCTTTCCAGCCAAATAGATACACAGGTGTTTTCCAATTGACCCCAGAGACCTTACCTTCACATGACTACCCTAAAAAGGAAAAAAAAAATTGACCCGGAAATTAATTTCACAGATTTGTTTATAAACCAGTTCAATTATCTAACCGGTGACAAATCTTCTCTGATTAAGAATTATATACAGTTCCATGAAACCATGAAAGTCCAAGAAATAAAATCTGCCTGAAAGATCTATTTAGTCCTCTAGCCTTGTGGTGTAAAAATGTGCTACTGCCTCATTGTTGAGATTTGAGATCTTTGAGATTTAGGAAACTTTAAGTTATAAAATCATGAAGTTAAAATGGACCTTGACTTTCCAATACAATTCCTAACAGATAGATTCCTAAGATGTGAATCATAATCATAACCATCATAATCATCACTACCTAATGTTTGCATAGTTCTTAATCCCTATGGAAGTCTGAGCAACCTGAAGGCAGTGCCAAATGCAAAGGGTCCTCTGAAATAAGGAATAACTAGAAAATAACCTCAAAAGAAAGTTCTTCATAAAGTAGAATAACCGTGAGGACACGCAAGGAGTGCTAGTGATAAGTTTAAAAGAATAAAGGTGGTCAGGTGGGAGATTTACAGAGGTAGAAAAAGGTTCTGTATTCCACATAATTTTTAAGGGATGAACACTTAGTAATAAGGCATTTAATTCCAGTTTATCACCACTAATCTCCTGCTAAGATGTTAAAGCCTCGTTTTCTATACATGATTCCCTTTTATATCAGAGGAGTTATTTTTTCCCCCTTTTGCATCTAATACTGCAGCCAAACGTTGTTGCCACAACTGCTATGCCCAATTCTCTAATTCTAGTATGAGTAGCCTTTCTCCTCACTCTGGAAGAAGAATGCAACTCCAGATAGCTGCTTCAGAGAGCAGGCCGTATATATTCACGCCCTAAAACACTTTCTGTCTGGCCAGACTCTCATAAAGCTCATATAACTTAAGATAGAGTTAAACAACCCAGAACAACACTGTAAGTTCTAGTCCCTGAGGTAAAGCAACTGAGGTTGGAGGTTATTCTAGAATGAAAATCCAGACAAAATGCAGCACATTTAAAACTATGTCAGATAAGGAATGGCTGAAGGAATTGGAGATTGCCTCAACAAGTAAAAAAGATGATTCAAAAAGTACAAAATAGCTGGTGATGTGCTGGAACCAGCTCCTACCAGCTCACAAGAACAGATTGCTAAATGGGAATTTTGCAGGCTGGTTGGCATCACATGGGTAGCTTGATATAAGCTGCAGAGGGAGAGGTTACACCATGGAAATTAACGAATGCTACAAATGAGTTTTTTTTTTTTTTTCTGGAGAGCTGGTTGTTGAGCATTTACTAGCATATCTGTGAAGTTAGCTGTCTTCAATTACTTGGGTCCTTTTTTTGGAATGAGATTATACTTGGTTATACACAATGCTTCTCAAGGCTTTGCAATACAGTATCTGCAAAGGCAAAGGAAAATAAACCCCTAGGAGCTCCAGTGACATGGTGCAGAGTGGCAAGGAATCTAAGCAAATATTGAAGGTATAAAATAATGAGGGTATATAATACTGTAAAACTAAGATCCTAGACAACAATGAATGCATGTTACCTAACCAGCAAATAACCTTAACAATGTAAAGTTTATGTATTTGTTAGAAGGGGAGTTAGAATACTGATAAAATTAAACTGCATTAAGTAAAAGGTATAAGTATACAGTAAAAGCATAATGTCAAAGATAAAAATTTGAGATTAACCATAAACATTTATAAAGAAAGTATAAAACTTGCAAAAGAGTAAATGAAACAAAATAAAACAAGAAAACAAAAAGCAATTTAAAAAAACAGCACACAAAAACTCAACAAATAAAACAAAAAGCATAAAAGGAAAAAAAAGCATGTAAAACTAGAACAAATAGAAAGCATGTTGCATAGTAGAAAAACAAGCATTTATATAGATCAATATTATATAGAGCAATAAAATGTAAATGACTAAGCTCACCTGTTAAAAGAATGAGATTGTAGAAATGGATTAAAACACAAAATTCAGTTAGGTGATTATGAAAGACATGCCTAGAACATAAAGACACAGAAAGGTTGAAAGTACAAAGGTAGAAAAAGCTGGTATATCTATATTAGTATCACATAAAATAGACTTCAAGATAAAAGGCAGTATTATGAGTAAAGTAAGATGTGACAAAAGATAGAAGGTTTAATTCACCAGGTATACCATTCTAAATGTTCATGGCCCAAAGAAAATAGCCTTGAAATATATAAAGAAAAACTAAAACTGACAGAACTGTAGAGACTTGGATCATCCGAATCATGTGAAATTTCAACAGAAATACTTCAATTAGTTTAAGTAAAACTTAAAATGTTAGTAAATATATAGATTTTAGGAAAATAAGCTGAATTTATGGGGCAAAAATAGAACCTGGAAACAAGTAAACAGAGAATGTTGATTCTTCTCAAACTCACATTAAGTATTTGTAAAAATTAACTTGTGTCCTAAGCCATAAAACACATCTCAACATGTTTGGGGGAAAAATACAATCAACACAGACAACATTCTCTGACCATTATGCAATTAAGTTGGAGGTCAGTAACAAAAAAAGATAAATTTAAATATTTCTGAAGTTTGTAAGTTTCAAAACCACACCTCTCAATTATCTATGTGCCAAAGAAGAAATTGTAATGGGAAATTGAGAAATATTTAAAAATAAATTGTAATGAAAGATCTACCTATCAATACTTGTAGAAGAGGGCCAAGGCAGAAATCACAGAAAAATTTACAGCTTTAGTATATTATTAGAAAGGAAGAAAGGCTGAAAACTAATAATCTGACATATAAATAAAACGTTTTAGAAAGGAACAACAAAAAAGGAAAAAATAAGCGCAAAAATCATGGAAACAAAACATAAAGATAGAATTGGATCAGCAAAGGGTAAAGGCAAAAGTTCGTTCTTTGAAAGAACAAGAAAAATAAAGAGAATTTTGGAAAGGTTGATTAATGAAAAGAAACTAGACAGAAATAAACAAGACTAGAAATTGTTTAGAATAGATTTAAAAAGAGAATACTAAAAATCTTTGTGACAGTAAATTTTAAAACTTAACTAAAATAAAAAATTCCTAGAAAAAATATAATTTAATAAATTTAAGAAGAAATAGAAAGCCTGAATCATCTAATAACAATTAAAGAAGTTGAATCAATATGTTTAAATTTTCATACATACACTGACACACACAAACATGCACACAGACACACATATATACACACAAATATGAACCGAGGCTCAAATGGTTTTTTAGGCAAATACAGGCATACTTTAAAGGAATAGATTACTTTAATCTGAAACAGTTTTTTTTTCCCTAAGAATAAAATGAGGGGGATTATACCCCAATTCAGACTATAAGGCAAACGTAACAATGCCACCAAACTATACAAGGACAACATGAGAAAGAAAACTTAGGAATTAATTATGCACTAAAAATTACTCATAATTAAGTTACAAATAACTTACGAACATAGATGCAAAATTTCTAAATAAAGTATTAGGAAATGTGTAGTTTAATAGCATATAATCATTATTGTAGCCCAGGGGTGGTGGCTCACACCCATAATCCCAGAACTTTGGGAGGCCAAGGTGGGCAGATCACCTGAGGTCAGGAGTTCGAGACCAGCCTGGCCAACATGGTAAAACCTGTCTCTACTAAAAATACAAACATTAGCTGGGCATGGTGGTGGGTGCCTGTAATCCCAGCTACTCAGGACACTGAGGCAGGAGAATCACTTGAACCCATGAGGCAGAGGTTGCAGTGAGCCGAGGTCACATCAGTGTACTCCACTCTGGGTGACAAGAATGAAACTCCATGTCAAAAACAAAAAAAAAATTATTATTGTAAAGAAAGAGTAGAAAGAGAGGAAGAAGGAGAGAGAGAAGAAAAGGAAGTTGGAGTCAGGGAAGAAAAGGAGGAAGGGAGGAAGGAATTGAAAAGAAAGAAACTCTCTACACATACACACACACATACACAGAATTATTTAGATATGGATAATTGTTTGCATAGAAAATGTAATAAGTGGCTGGGCATGGTGGCTCACGCCTGTAATCCCAGCACTTTGGGAGGCCGAGGCAGGTGGATCATGAGGTCAGGAGATCGAGACCATCCTGGCTAACACGGTGAAGCCCCGCCTCTACTAAAAAATACAAAAAATTAGCCAGGCGTGGTGGCGGGCACCTGTAGTTCCAGCTACTCAGGAGGCTGAGGCAGGAGAATGGCATGAACCTAGGAGGCAGAGCTTGCAGTGAGCCAATATCGAGCCACTGCACTCCAGCCTGGGTGACAGAGCAAGAGTCTGTCTCAAAAAAAAAAAAAAAAAAAAAGAAAATGTAATAAGGTAATTTAGATATAAGATAAATATTCCAAAATTAACTGCATTTTTACAGTATGACAACAAACATAAAATGTGACTTTAAATATTGATTTCATTTATAACAGCATAAAACAGGATGTCATCAGGAAACACATTTAAGATATTAGGACATATATGGAAGAAAGTATAAAGCTTTATTTAAAGACATCAAAGAAGGGCTTAAATAACATGGTGCTATACCATATTCATGGATAAGAAGACTTGTTATCTTAAAGGTGATAATTTCTGCCCAAATTAATCTATATAATCAATATAATTCCAAACAAAATTATACCAGGGTGTTTTCAAGGAGTGTAATAATCTGATTCTAAAATTTATTCATAGGTCCAAAATAGGCAAGATACTCCTATAGGAAATAAGATAGAAGTGTTTTCTTACTGTATATCAAGGCTTACTTTAAAGTTGTAGTAATTAAGACAGTATAACATTGGTGTAATGTAGAAAAAAGAATAGTGGAATATAAAAAAGCTTAGACACAAACCCATGCAAAATAGTTACTTGAGATATGAGAAAGGTAGTTTTACAAGTGAGAAAAGAAAAGAGGGACCATTCAATAAATGGTTTTGGGACAAATGTTTATCCATGTGGATAAAACCATTATGCCATCAGATAAAAAACAAATTGAGTCCTTTACTCACACCCATAAATCTCAATGCCAAATAGATCAAAGGCCAAAATGTACAGAGCAAAACTAAAAAATTTTAGAGAAGATATAAAATAATATTTTCACAACCTCAGGATTTTAAAAATTACAGGAGAATGAAAACATAAATTATGGTATATTTATGCAATGGAATATCATACAGTAGTATAATATTAATAAACTACAGGTATACCTAACAGGTACAAAATTAATAAACTGCAGGTACACATAACAACATGGTTATTTCTTTAAAATGTCTAGTTAGTGTAAAATAGTAAGCAGCAAAATACTACTAAAAGACTGATAGACTTTGTAAAAATGTAAAAACACGCAAGAAATTAAATAATATATTCCTTGGAGATACATTTTGTGACAAGATTAATTTTACAAAACAAATGAAATAATAACCACAAAATTCAGATTAATGGTCACCTTGGGCATAGGAACACAAGAAGGTAATAAAGGAAAATCAACTAAGTAGATGCAACAGGACTGGCTATGTCCTTTATTCTCCAGCCCGCAATTGTTTGTTGCATTATTATGCTTAATAAATTACATTTATGTTACCTATAAGTTGTGAATACGACATAGCATTTAAAATAAAAATCTCAATTTTAAAAAGATTTCTGCTTATTATACTAAGACTAATTACAGAGCTCTCCAAAAGCTAGAAGGGGACTTATGGGGCAGAGGAATTGGGTAAAAGGTTTAATTGGTAGTGAGTTTCTTGTCACTGGAGTTATTCAAGTACAGATGAGAAAATCCGTTTAAATTAATATGAATACTTAAACTTAAGCATTAGTTGGTTGATTGAATTAACTTCCTTCTACATCTGAAAGACTATAATTCCTTGGATCAGTTGTTGAACAAACTAATTTAACCATTCATGTTAGCCAATTTGTTAAAAATATGAAGTCCATATAGATACTGCCTTTGTCTGCCAATTCCAGAATTAGAATAAACCAGTTGCTCCCAGAAAAAATCTAGGGATCAACTTTGCCCCCCAAATCACTTGCTTCTGTTTTTTTCTTAATAATTTAATCATTCTTTACATGGTTTTCCTTGGTAAGGCAGGGGAGAGGGAAGGAGGGGTGGGATAAGTAGGTATTTTTAACATTTTCATGAAGCTCAATTTTATGCAACTAATTATCTAAAGATAGTATTGAAACTAATTTTAGCAGGTAATAAGTTGTGGGCAGGATCTTAGAGAATATTCTGCCTTTTAATCTTCATAGATTCTACAATTGAAAGTAGAAAGCCACTTTTCTAAAAGTGTTGCCAAACGTTCCTCAGATCCCTCACCATCGAGGAGGGGAATGCCAACAAAAGTGCTGGGCTGTCACCTCAGGGAACTTTTAAAAGTAAGTTAAAAGCGTAGATTAAATAAATTCATTTATGCCAATTGCCAAAAGGCAAGGGCAATCTTCAGAGCCTGGAAATGCGAGAAGGCAGGCAGGATATGCACGAGGGGGTGGATGTGCTGGCATTTACTAAATCCCCACTGGAAACATAGCACATTTCTTAGATCACTCAGTTCAGTCAATTATCGCTACAGATAACCCTATCAGAAGTACCTCCCACCTACGGAAATCTGCCTAAGGTTTGCTAACCCACCTGCCTGTTTCTGAATAGTGCCATTTTTGGCATAATTACAGCAAAAAAAGAGGATCATTGAATGCAACCCAGAAGGGCTGGTTTTCTCTCAGGTGGGCTGGTTGAAGAAATTGATGCTGAAGACTGAAGGTCCCAGCCCTTCACTTATTAGTACCCCTCTTAGTGATGTGTCATATTGTGGGTTGTGTCTTTTTTGGAGAAAGTCAATCATGTCACTCTGTTGAGAAGAGAATGGTGAACAGCAAGGAGACTTTTGCAATGAAATAATGCAAACTATTCCAGACATGCCTAATGGTTCTATTTGCTGTGTGCCTTAGGTCAGGGTGTAAGAAACCCAATCTTGAAGGAAAACAGAGTAGCTTATCTTGCCTGGAAGTAACAAAAAAAAAAAAAAAAAGCATCCCTTGGTGGGTCACATGACCCTACCAGTTCTCAAGTCAGATCTCTTCTCATAAGGGCACTGTGTGGAGCTTCTGAGATCTGTGGAGGTTTTTCTCTGCAAATGCAGGAAGAAATCAGGTGGATGGATGCATAATTATGGCCCTGCTCCTGGTCTCTTTGCTGGCATTCCTGAGCTTGGGCTCAGGATGTCATCATCGGATCTGTCACTGCTCTAACAGGGTTTTTCTCTGCCAAGAGAGCAAGGTGACAGAGATTCCTTCTGACCTCCCGAGGAATGCCATTGAACTGTGAGTATCAGAGGGAGGGGGAACAACTGCATGGCTGGCATTTGTGCATTGCGTACTATTATTATTTTTACATTAGGCTGATATCTGTTAGACTGAAATATTTCTGCCCCTTGACCGAAGTCCTGAATAAAACAACTAACTCCCCAGCCCAACCCTCCTGCCTGTGGCTTTCCAAGAATCTTAGATGAGAGTTTGTATCAGCATTTGTCAGAGAACGGCAGTGTCAGAGAACCGGAATCCAAAGGCAAAGGGAAAAGTTTTGTCTTTTCAATGCATTTGCTCTTGGGTTTCATACTCTCTTTAGTGGAACCAGAAAAGGAAAATGAAGGCAAAGTAGAAACTTAGGAGACCCAGAATTGGAGGCAGAAAGGCAGCTTTGATCTAAGCAGAATACACAAGGTATGTCTCCCGAGGACACTGAATCTAAAAGGCCATAGTCTTTGTCGTTTTGAAGGCAGCAGCAAATAATTCCTGAACTGAGATTCTGCTTTTGGGTGTAAAAAGGAGGTGGTAGAGAAGAGAAAAGGTGTGAAGAAAGAAAGAAAGATAGGAAAGACACAGAGAGAGGGAGAAATACAGGATAATCTTTTACACAACTGGAAAAAAATGTGATTAATAAGTTAGAAATTTACTTAACTATTTTAACAGGAAGTAGACTCCTAGAGTTGGCCAAGAATTTAGACACCATCCTACTCTCTCTTTCTTTTGCAAATTAGGAATCTGGTGTCTGAAGAGTAAAGAGGATTTTCCAAACTCTCGTGATGAGTTGAGATGGAGCCAAAAGTAGAAATCGGGCCTTTTGACTCACAGTCTACTGTTTTGTTTTGTTTTGTTTTGTTTTCCCAACCCACTGTGACTGACTCCATTAGAGCAACAGTGAGGGAAGCCTGAAGTAATTGTTCAGTTACTGCTTCCCCTGAGAACTGGCAAGTTGGGACTCAGGGATTTTAGATACTCTCTGTGTTTTTATTGCAAGGATTTTAAACAGAAGCCTGTTTCAACCTTTGTCACTTAAAGCTGTGGATGATTTGCATTTAATTGAAGAAGGTGGTCATCTCTTTAGTTCACCAATTGCCATATTGACACTGAAACATGTTGGTGTTGCATTTCAGATTTTCACTCAGGGACAATGAGTTGCAGCCTTGCAGACCTGATTGATTCTGTTTGCCACATTTCCCCTTAACATCTCAAGTCTTCAGTCCTTATCCAGAGGCAGCTGCAGAGGCAGGGAAAATAACTGGCCAGCTCTGTGTTTTGGCTACACTGTCTCAGATTAGACAGCTACTCCTGATTATGCTGAAGAATGTGCCCATGCACAAAGACAGTCTGATTTATTAGGTAAATATAAGCACAGGAGAAGGCCAATGTACCTGAGCTCCTATAAGTCATTTGGTCCTAAGTGACTTTCAGTGATTACTTAACCCCTTCTGAGCCTCAAGTTCCTCATTTCTGAAGCCATTTTAGTACAACCTGCTTGGTTGAATTGTTGTGAACACTAAAAGATATAGATGACCCCTACACCCTAATTTCCACCTCTCCTGGACCTACTCCACTTTTTCCAATGTTTCCATGTGGGTCAAGCAGTGTCATCCAGTTGATAAAACAAACAGACCCAAACAAGTTTTAATTTTAGGGTGATTTCACACTAGCCTGTCTGCTTTCTGAAATCTCCTTATCAGAAGAGAGATTTTCTTTTTTCATTCTGCAGAGAAAACATAGGCCAAAAAAGAGAAAAGATGGAGGGAAAAAGGGAAAAAGAGAAAGAAAAGAAAGAGGAAAGAAAAGAAAATCCACCCCCACACCCTAAAGCTTCAGGGAGTATATTTGTATGAATTACTATGAGAGGATATGAATTTTTGAAAAAAAGTAATGCTAAGGTATAAATGACTAAAACACATCTCTGGCCAAGAGCATTTTGCAACTAAGGAAAGAGAGCATGAGATGTTGAGATAGTATGGAAAGAGACTGTGTGAGAGAGTGTGATGAACAGAGCACCAGAAACAAATTTCACATTCTTGACAAAGGCTAGCTCTAGGTCAATTCCTTACTTCAGTGTACGTATTAGAGGACAAAGTTGCATAAAACTAAGAAAAGGAAAGAAAGTTCCTGCCAGGTGTTAGGATTTTCCTCCACCTAAGGAATGAGTATAGTTAAGAGCTTTAGAAGCTCTCTCAAATACCCAGTCTTAAGAAGATTCTGTCTTCTGCACACTCATTGGTAGGGCTTGACTTGGACCATCTTAGAGTTTGGCTTTGCAATCTTCTTGGAAAGGTGTACTGAGGTGAGAAGAGAAATGTTGCTTTGTCTATTAGATTTTAAAAAAGGAAAATTATTTCAGGTCAGTGTGTTAATCACTGAAGAGTAGATAAAATGTCAAGTGAATTACAACTCACATACTGTTAGAATGAGAGAGCAATTACCTTTATTTTTGCTTCCTTAAAAAGACTGAATCAAGGTTATCTAAGTAAATGGCAGAACAGGGATGAAATGGACTGTTCAACTAAGTATCTCTAATTCACCTTACAATCTTCCAAGTTTGCGTATTAACTTTAATGATTACATGAGGTGTAGGTGGATGGATTATTGGACTTCATTGACTGCAATTGCTTAATCCATCAACATGTCAAAGCTTCATTGTTACTCAGGCTCACCGGGTGGAAAACAATTCCTACATTTTACTATGTACATTTTTATCCTATCATTCCATTCACCTTGCAGCAGTTTCATTTCATTTGATACATCTGCCAGCTATCACGAAAGATTGCTAATTTCCTATGATCTGCACATGCTGATATTAATGCTAAAAGAACAGAAGCACCATCAACAGGCAAGTAGATTTCATTTACTAAGGGGCTCCTACTATTTGCTTTATGCAGTATGTTTTGTACATACTACTTCATTAAAACTTCACCAAAAACTGCAAGTTTGGAATTATTGCTCTGTTTTTCAAATAAGACAAACCAAAGCACAAAAAAGTTGAGTAGCTCTGGCAATTATCCCTGCAGCTCCTGGATGGCAGAGCTGGGATCCAAATTTGAATCTTTTATATCTCCTCTGCATGCCATGTGAAATGAACATCATCTGACTCTATACCTTTCTTATTCTGAAAAAAAAAAAAAAAAAAGAGTAATCCTTTACATTTTAAACCAGAAGTCAGCTTTATGGGCTATACCACTTCTTGCAACTACTCACTTCTATCACAGTAGCAGAAAAGCAGCCATAAACAACATGTAAATTAATGAACATGGACATGTTCCAAGAAAACTTTATTTATGAACACAGAAATTTGAATTTCATATAATTGTCATGTCACACAAAAAAGCATTATTTTGATTTTTTTCAACCATGTGAAAAGGTGAGAAAGATTTTTAGCTTACTGGCCATAGAAAAACATGGGGCAAGCCAAATTTGGCCCATGGACTATGTATTGCCCACTTCTGATTTAGACTATAGCTGAGAGAGTGGGTTAAGTATTACTAGTTTGAGTGGGGTTTAGGCAGCCTGAGGCACCATGGCACCATGGAGAAAGTACTAAACTAGGGGAGCAGGTTCACTCACGGGCAGCCTTTAGCTGGTTCTGATGAGTCAGAGATGGTGGAGTATAGTGTTTAGAATCTGAGAGACCTGAGTTTAAACCCAGGATGTTCCATTAAATTTTAGCTCTGTTATCTGGACCTTTGGCTGTATAATGGAAATCACCATGTGTGCCTAACTGACAGAGATGCTATGAGGATTACATGAGACAATGTGGGTGAAACACTTTGCACAATATCTCTCATGTTGTTATTGTTGTTGATGATAATAATGTTGCTCTCAACTGTAAAATATTAGGCAAAAATTATCTACCACAGAGGGCTTTCGTGAGGACCAAGTCAGTCAAGAGATATGAGACTGATTTTGGAAAATTGATATAAAGATCTTTATAACTCTGAGGTAGTTTACAACCTCCCATTTGTTTAAGAATAATCTCCTCCCAGGGTATCTAGCACTTAATCTCCATGGACTTACTTTCTGGGTAAGAAAATGTGTCCCTTAACGCTGTCCATATTTGTCAAGAACTCAGGGAGCAGGTTCATTCTGACTATAGTCAAAGGAATTTTGGTTTCTGACTTATCTTAGAAACTCAGCTTCACCTAGAGGCAGTCAGTGGATCTAGAAAAGTGCCTTTGATCTTACTTTATTCTTCCTGCAGTTAGAATTCCTAAGGAGAATGCAAACACCCATTCTACATCTGAAATTTGAAGTCTAGGCAACAGTATGGACGTAATGATGTTTTTCTTCAGCAGGGTCAGATGATTATAATACTAAAGAAGAAAAGGGTCTATTGATGGTCATTCTTGTCTTAAGGAAACCTGTCCTGGGATTATATTATAGGCTGCCTGTGTTAAACCTTGTCCTTATAGCAAGTTCCCATATCTCATTGCAATCTCTTTTCACTAGCATTTACTTCTAATTATCAAATTATCTTTTCCTCTTTTTATTTTCTTTCTTTGGCTTACATTCCTTATTTTTTCATCCTGGTTTAGATCTCCATATTCCATAACCACAGATTATTATTAGGAATTTTAAAGTGTGTCTAGGTTAGTCTTTGTTTAATAGGTCCTTAGTTCAGAGGGATGTATCAATCGTGTACAAAAAGGGTAGCCTTTGCTATACCAAGGCGTTCTGTGATGTCTTAAGAGTGAAACAGAGTTTTTGATGTTTGCAAACTGAGCCACTTTTCTAAGAGTATTCTGAGGATTAACATTCCACAGAGGTCACTTTGGGAAAGGCTGGTCTATCCAACCCCAGCCATCAGGATAAATTCCTTCTAAAGTCTGAACCACAACCCAGGCCTCTTGACTCTCAGATTCAGTGTTCAATATCACATCTAGAAAAGGACTCTTGGATTCGTTTTTATTGCTTTGTGCCTGACAAGTAGGTATTTTAAAGTGTGCTGTGTTCTCATGAAGGAGATGGTTCTGAAGTATAGACTATAGGTAACCATGAGGTAACCAGGTATTACCTGTTCTGAGGTGAAGAAAGAGAAGATAAAACAATGGATTACAAAACTATAAAAACCATTCCTAACTTCCTCATTTGTTGAATGTTGACAGTTTACTTCTCCTCATCATATAGGTTTCAAACTTTTCTGGTTACCCATCTAATCAGTTTACAAGTTCCTTTCATATTTCTGCTACTAATAATAATATTTTTTTTAAAAAAATTACCATTATCTTTGCTTCGGCCCTGGCAATCTAAATCCTGGATTATATAATTACTTCCTAATTTATGTCTTTCTTATCAATCCCTCTTTTCTCCAAACTAGCCTGCACACCGTCATTCTATTTTCTCCATAAAACACCACTGCCACCATGTTGTGATTTCCCAGTTCAAAAACATTCAATAGCTCATCTTTCTGACTTTACCTCTCTTTATTCTCCAACAGGAGCCTACTCCACAGGGCTCAAGCATAGTTTGTGCATTTCTACCTCTTTGTGTCTTTACGTTATGCCTCCTGTTTGTACTATTCTCAGTTTATTCTTTGTTTCTTGAAATTCAGCCTTATTATAATCTTGCTCAAAGGTTGCCTCTTTCATGAAGTCTTCCCTTACCACTCCGTCTTTATTTAAACTTGCTTTCATTCAAACACTGGTGCAGTTCATTTCACACTTAATCTTGCCTTGCGTTTAATTTTTCATGTGTGTCTTATTTCCTCAACTGTAGTGAAAATTTCCTTTGTACACCTTAGTGTGTCTGGTTCAATACGATGTGTATTCTGGACGCTCAATTACAGGTAGTACAAATGATTCGATAAATCAGGAGGAATTACATCTGTTTATTTGCTCTGCTCCTCAGTATTGAATAAAGAATTCTTATAAAAGATGATTATTACTTTCTCCTGCAGTGAACTAGTATAGGATCGGATAGCTTTCTTATTTTCCTTGCTTTTTTATGTGTTTGTTTTAAGAAAATTCCTGTGTGTCATTCCAGAATCCATTAATTTATACAGAAAGAAAGAGACGTTGACTAGAAACAAGGTCTACTGAGTTAAAAGTTGAATATTCTATACTCTAGGCACATCATTCAATTCTCTTGACTTACGTGATAATACTTGCCTCTCTATACCTAACAAAAATATCGAAAAGAGGAAAGTGATTTTGCCCAAACAAAATCACTTTAAACCAGACAGAAGTGTTCAAAAAATATAATTTTTGCCAATTAAGGTCAGATTCTAGACCCTGAATTTTAAGTTTTCTATATTCCTCAGATGTACTTTGATTGTCGTAGTTCTCTCTGATTATCAAAACTGAACACCCCACTGTGCAAATTGCCCTGAGTGCCCATGTTTGGAGTCTCCTATAGCCTTGTTTAGGTACTTCTTTGACAGAAACAAACAGCACAGCGTTCACACTAATATATACATAATCCTTTCTCTTGACATAAAATCCTGCACCTACTTTTGTGAGAAATGATATGTCTATGTCCAACATTTGGAATTTAATTGGGCTGGGGGAAGGGAGGTTTATATTCCCTGCAGAAGAATAAAAAAAAAAATGACTAAAGGAACAGCTATAGAATGCAGTACCTTGAAAGAGAAAAAGTGGAAATTACATTGCAGGGAAAGAATCCTTTAAAGTAGAAGATGAACTCTATCCTGAGAATTGGCTAAGAGCTATAATTTACAGAGTCATTATTAGCAATTGAAGAGTAGGGGTTTGATAGCAGAGAACTGCACTTGCTTGGTGATGATAAAACCCCCTTGTTTACCTAAAGGTGCATGCTATCCTTCCTCACCCAAGTCCTCTACTCTAAGAAGCCTATGCTTCAGAAATAGGACATTGTGGCAGCAAATGGGAAATTCATTTAACTTTTGATTATCTTTCTCCAAAGCCACTAATTGGGTTATCTAGCCACTGTGGTTGATTGGACTATACTTTTTCTTTAGGCGCTTAGATTTAGACTCTCCAATTTAGCTTTGTTTAGACTAGATTTTAGCTTATATAGCCCACAAGGTCAGCTAGGAAAGAGAGTAATTATTTTTAATTGCCTAGGATCTGATTATAATGAGATATGGATGTTTGTTCTTAATCTGACCTCTCCCTGGAGTATCTCAGAGCATGTTTTGTATCTCTGACCTGAACATGCCATTACCTTGTTCTTTCGTATGAAATAGGCTGGCTGATCTGAAAATCTTCAAAGGATATGTAAAATAATATTTGAATAAAGCAGCCAAACACGTGCTATGCACTTGAATTCAATTATACTTTTAGTCTTCAGAGTGACATGAGCCCTTTTTTGCATCTCATCTCTCAGACCTTTTTCAGCAAGAGTCAACATAAAGTTATCACAGAGTCCTGTGTCAGAAACCATCAAGAATGCACAGCTGAGCCCATTTTTGTATCTTTCTAATGGCAAGCTTGATGAAAACTTCTAAGAAATAGGGACCTCAAAAGTTTAACTGTTTCGATGCAACAGAAAGATCCACAAATTGAGGATATTGAGAGAAAACTCATCAGTAGATTGCTGAAAGTTTGATGTAAAATGACGCTGAGATGTTTTCAATTCTCAAATGCTTTGATTTTACAAGCATCTTCAGGCACCAAACTTCCCCAAACCAATAGGCTTTCTCTAGGCGTCAGATTCCAGCAGCTGTGTAATCCTTGCGCTCCTCTGATCTCACTTGTGGGATTTAGAGAGTGAGCATGTTTCCCTTGGGCTGAATAGTTCTGTTATTTTGAGATGCAGCATGGAAAAACCCCACACAAACATCTCTTTCTCTTGATATTTTCAACTTGTTGAGGGGTTTTAAACAAAGAATTTATGAGGGATCCTATCTCCAGCAATGATTTCATAACTAAACAGGGGGACAGGTCTCTGAGCACTGCATCCCTCCTGAATTCTCTTGGAATAAGGACTTGAGAAAGAAAGGCCCCTTATATGAAAGGGCCACATCCTTGAGCACTAGACTTTCTGAAGTGGCTTCGGTTTCAAATATTCTGTCCCTTTAAGAAAGCTTACAAAATGTTGGTTCATAAGATAGGATTACATCCCTAGAAGATGGCATTGCCTCTTGTGGTTCCTCGTCTTCTCACAATAGTAGCCTCTGAATTGGTCTTTGAGCTTTCCATCTTCTTCCCTCCCAGATCCCTGCTCTGAGATCTTGTCCTGGTTTAATTCCTCTGTGGGTACACATGCCCAAATTCAGAACAAAAATCCAGTCACAAGTTTGGCATTAAGATCCTCTGTATTTTGGCCTCAAATTAACTCTTCTATCTCATCTCTTCTCTTACATCCTCTCAACCCTATGCTCTATGTGCTATTTTCTACTCCCCAGCTTCCAAATATGTTTTATATTCCCCTACTCAAGTACTACTATTTTCTCCAGCCTGAATATATTCTCCTACTCCAATATTACTCACCTTTGATACCAAAGAAAAGATGCTCATTTTTCATGAAGTTTTCTTTGAACAGCAAATATTTATTAATTATATATGTTCAAGGTTCTATATTAGGCACTGGAGAGAAAACAATCAATAGGAAAGGCAAGATCCCTGTCCTCATGAAGTTGCCAAAAAAGAACTCAAACAAGCAGTGACAATGTTTTTCCTTGCTCTTACTTGCAACTATCAGTATCTCTCTCAGAACTCAGAATAGTCATTGTCGAAATCACTAATTTGACAACTAATTGCATGTTGCTTTGTGCAATCTGAAATCATAGATTGTGAGAGCTAGAAGGAATGGATACCTGCCTGCCTGATGCCAGAACAGAGATGATAAGAAGACAGCCATTGGCCTGTCCCATCTAGATTTGCCTTCTTGACCACCGTGGGATGATTTCAGGGGCTATATAGGGCCACTTCCAAAATACTCCATTGCTTTAAAGCTAGCAAATCCTTGTTTTATTTTATAAGAAGGGCACAGACCTGAACTAAAATATAATGAACAATCAGCAAATTAATGATAGGGTTCAATGGAAAGGTGTCCAAATATTTAAGTTTGACTAAAAGTTTACAAATTGTCAAAATACAAGAGACTCAATCTTTTCAGTTTGGATAAAGGAGGTTAACACAGAAGGTAGAAAAGAGCACCAAAGGGAAACGTAGGCTGCATTGTTTTCTTTGCCAACTTCACCGTTTTTCCAAAACTACTTGTATTGATAAATACTATTTTATGCCTGTTGGGTAAAAGTTTACCCGTCAATGGGCTGTGTATGCCAGCTTCCCCCAAAGCAGCTGGGATGATCCTGAATCTAGTAAAAGACCAGAGCTAATCTTAACAAAGGCCATAGCCCTCCAAAAATGACAGACCTTAAGACATTTTGCTTTGGCATGAGGGGGACAGTAATAAGGAATTACAGAATGCTCTTGAACTTATAAGTAATTTCCTTGTCCTCTAAATTTCAAACTATTTGGCATGGTTATATTAGCTTTAGGGTAGAAAAACAAATTAAATGCAAAAGAATGATCACTGTCTACCATCAGATCACAGCCTGAGCAGGTACCCACAGTCAACAACAAACCCTTGCCACTACCATGTACCCATCAAAGCTAATTTCTCGTCAGGGCAGGAAAGGAAGAAACCTTCATTGAATTGCTGTTTGTTTTGTGGGCAAGCAGTGCAGCATTTCTCTAAGTAAATACATTGGAGAGGACATTAGAAAATGCAACAAGAAACATTATTTTAAGTTAGAAAACAAACTGGAAAAGCAATGAAATAAAATATGACAATTATGATGAACAGCAAAGAGGTCATCTGGAATCCTGCAAACAGTAGCAAAATTGCTTATCATGCCCCTGATTGTGAAAATCTGCTGAACTCCTTTAATAAGAACACACAGTCTTTGAATGGCATCTCATTCCCCCAAACAAATACTAGAAATAAGGGGAAAGAAGTGCAAATAGTTATGCTAGTCAGATAGGAAAATTACAAAGTGGCTCTGGAAGCAGATGTTTGGGGTAAGATTCTGGAGGAAGAAGAGCAACAATAGCCGCAGCAGCAGATTTAAGAACCTCAGCCAAAGAAACAGCTAGGCTGTTTGTTGGGGAATTGCTGCATCAGAATCTTTATGTCTTGACTTGGGCTGGTTGAATTTCCTGGAGAAGATTCTTCCAAATTCCTACTGGAGGATGAAGTCCTGACTACCAGCATTCTGGTGGTTGGGAAAAGAACTAGGGTCTCAGCATCCAACAGTCGTAAGTGGCACCTGGCATCCTCAAGTCCAAAAACTCCCTATTTTATGCTCTCTAAAGAATAATTCTTTGGGGTTTTGCTTGGGTGGGTAGGGGCACTCCCATGACTGTTCTGAGGGGAAAGTCTGGCTGCCTTTTAAATATACTTTCCACCAATCCTCTTTATTTTATCCATTTTACCCGATTTCCACCCCTGCCCCACTCCTAGAGATACCAGTGCCTCCAGTCCCTGAGTGTTTTAGGGATGGTGCAGTATAAATCACTTTGGCTTCCATTTTCTAGAGTCAACCAAGTAACACTTCTCAAACTTTAATGTGCTTGCAAAGTAGAGGAATATATTGTGGAATGCAGATTTTAATTCAGCTTTCTGGGATGCTGTCAGTACTAGTTCCAGAACCACATTTCTCCATCTTTGCAATCCTAAAATTTTCTTGCTCTTGTTCTTCTGTCCTTGTTGCTTTATTCATTTAAAAAACAAATTCCCTTATTGTCTTCTCAGTGGAGTTTCAGGAGGAAACAAATAGTTGTTTATTTAATATGCCATTTCTACCCAGGAATTCCCATTCATTATTCACCCACTCAATCTGGCTCTGTCTCCATAGTTCCACTGAGCTGAAAATTCTTCTTGTCACAGGTACCAAAAAATTTCTCTTTATCTTCCATATGTTTTGTACAGTGATTATATTACATTTTACAACTCTGAATATAAGAGGAATGTGCTGAATTCATATGGCAGATTCTGTGGTCACTTATCTGTTCACATTACACACCTCTCAGGAACACTCCATGCAGTGACCATTCGAGTACTTGACACATGTTCCTTTTTTGACTTTCAGTGTCTGTGATACCACACTAGTTTTCCTCCTATAGCTCAGGCAAAACTTTGATCTCCTCTGCTGACTTCTCTATTGCTTCTCAGCCTCTAGATGTTGGAGTTCCCAGGCTTCCTCCTGAACCTTCTTCTGTTGTGCATCTGTTCTCTCTGTATGGTGAGCTCATCCAGACAGCTTTAAATATCACCTACATTCAGAATATGTGTGCCATTTCTGACTGCCTTATGGAGCCCAAGACATATAATATTCAACTGAAACCTTGACTTCTCCACTTGACTTTTACAAGCATCTCAAAACCAACAAATAGAAAATAGTAACACTTAATTGCCTTCCTTTAAGCCCCACAGAATCTCTTCTCCCAGCCTTCATCATCTGTATAAACGCACATGTCACCAAACTGTCACTCCCAAATCCAATCCATCAACAGGTGCTGGGGATTTGACACATAAACTATAGCTCCAAACTCTTCATTTATCCGTATCTCCCCTACCACCACTATAGCTTAATTCACCATCATCCCTCACCTGGGCTACTGCAATGTCCCCTACCTTTTCCATTTCCTTGTTTCACTTGAATTAACAGTCTATCCCCTATGCAGCAGCTAGAGGCATTTCAAAAGCATATGACATCCAATTACATAGAACTTCATTTAGAATAAAATTTATTACACTCATGTTTTATGACTGCCTACTATGACAGGCACTGTTTGAGGTGCCAGAGAGTCAGGAGTGAGCAAAACAGACAAAATATCTTTCCTTGTGGAGCTAATGTGCTTTGCCATGACTACAAAGCACCCCATGATTTGACCTCTTCCTGTCACCCTGGACCCCTTTCTACTCTTTAGAAACACTAGGCTCTTTCCTACCTTAGATCTATTTTTCTCTTTCCTCTTCACATCTTTCAGCATGATGAGATGACACGAGATGACTTTTCATCTTTTCAGTCTCTACCCAAATGCCACCTCCTTAGAAGGGTCTTTTTGACCACTCCACTATAATAGCACATAAACTTACTACAACTTGAATGTTTTCATTTCTTTACTTTCCTCCCCACCACTAGAAACTAGAACTAAAGTTGAATGATGGCAAAGATTTCAACATGTTGAATAGTCCCCAGCACAGAGTAAACACTCAATACATATATGAGTTGAAAGAATAAATGAAAGGGCTTCTCAAGCAAATAATAACTAGAAGGAAAGACTGAATGTAACAAACATCTAATAAGTCCTACTGTGTCACTATGCTGCATGCCACCTATAGCATCTTGCCCAACAATTTTGCACTGTAGCTATTACTGTCCCTATTTTGGAAATAAGGAAACTAAAATTTAAGAATTAGCCCAAAGTCACTCAGCTTCTCAGTATCAGAATTGAAATTGACATCTCTTATATACCTGATTTTAACATGCCCATTCTTTGTATGAACAAGGAAAAAAAGACACAGTGGGCCTCTTTTTACTCTGAACTCCTAAAGTAAAGTCTAAACTCTTCATCTGAGCACTTACATATGTAAAATGCTGGACTCATCTTTAATACAGAACTTATGTATTATTTTGTCTCCCATATATAGTAAGCTGAAGATTAGCACTGCACTCTTCTCCTGTACCCAGTCAGGGTTGGCGACATAGTTTGGATGTGTGTCCCCTCTAAATCTCACATGGAAACATAATCCCCATTGTTGGAGGTGGGGCCTGGTGGGAGGTATTTGGATCATTGGGGTGGATCCTTCATGGCTTGGTGCTGTTCTCTTGATAGTCAGTGACTTCCCGTGAACTCCTGTTGTTGTAAAGTGTGGTATCTCCCCACTACCTTGCTCCTGCTCTGCCACGTGGGATTCCTGTTCCTCCTTCAACTTTCATTATGAGTAAAAGCTCCCTGAGGCCTCCGCAGAAGCCAAGCAGATGCCAGCACCACACACTTCCTGTAGAGCCTGCAGAACCATGACCCAATTAAACCTCTTTTCCTTATAAATTACCCAGTCTTAGGTATTTTTTAATAGCAATGCAAGAACAGCCTAACACAGATGGGTACAAGCAACTACTCCATGAGGAGAGAGAAAGAGAGATTCAATCAGTGGGGTTGTGAATAAATAGAAGGACTAAAAAGTAAATGCGATGACAATTTCCAGAAATAAATTACAAAGTAATCAGAAGCTGGCTAATGTCAAGGAGCTGTTTGAGCAATATGTATGCCTATCTATAGAGTGGGTGGTATCAGGGCTGGCTCCAACTTTATTTTGCCTTTTACACATTTCTTATGAAGATGGTGCCCAGAAGTAACTGACTCTCAGCAGGTTGAGTAGCTGATCTTCTGCAGATGTAGAGGCTTAGCAGAAGTGAATGCCATGTGAAAATGGAGTACTTAATGGAGGCTCAGGAATCACTGTAAATGCTCCCTAAATGCTCCTCACTGAATTAGATGAACCTTGATGATAGTATTTTAAAAATCCCATAGAGTTCAGGAAAAAAAAATTATTGATCTATCATGACCTCATAGCCTTTTCTAAGATTTATTTCTAGATGTGGGGAACTGTACCTTTTTTTTTTTCTCTCTTTTTTTGAGATGGAGTCTCACTCTGTCGCCCAGGCTGGATGGAGTGCAATGGTGCAATCTCAGCTCACTGCAACCTCTGCCTCTTGGGTTCAAGTGATTCTCCTGCCTCAGCCTCTAGAGTAGCTGGGATTACAGGCACGCACCATCATGCCTGGCTAATTTTTGTAGTGTTAGGCCATTCTTGCAGTACTATAAATAAATACCTGAGACTGGGTAATTTATGATGAAAAGAGGTTTAATTGGCTCATAGTTCAGCAGGCTGTGCAGAAAGCATAGAGCTGATATCACTCAGTTTCTGGGGAGACCTCAGGGAGCTTTTACTCATGACAGAAAACAAAGTGGGAGCTTGTACATCACATGGCAAAAGCAGGAGCAAGAGAGAGAATGGGTGGGGGGTGGTGCGGGGGCAATGCCACACACTTTCAAACGACCAGATTTGTGTGAACTCAAGCCAACAGCTCACTTATCACCAAGGGGATGACCAAGCCATTCATGAGGGATCCACCCCCATGACCCAAACACCTCCCACCAGGCCCTAGCTCCAAAATTGGGGATTATATTTTAACATGAGCGTTGGGTGTGGACAAATGTCCAAACTACGTCAGATGTGATGTCCTATTTAGGCCAAAGCTGCCCTAACAAATCCATAGTTCCCTAAGTAATACAATCTGAGAAGCACTAAGCTGGCTCAGTTGCCCCCAGATATATCCTCTGCTACTTGTCACAATACCACCATTAATAAATCAATTCTTGGAGCCTTAAAGATTGCCCTAATTTCAAATACTCTGCATTTGAAACATAAAATTTCTTGGGGCTGGGTGCGGTGGCTCACGCCTGTAATCTCAGCACTTTGGGAGGCCGAGGCAGGCTGATCACGAGGTCAGGAGATCAAGACCACCCTGGCTAACATGGTGGAAACCTGTCTCTACTAAAAAATACAAAAAGTTAGCCGGGCATGGTCAGGGGTGCCTGTAGTCCCAGCTACTCAGGAGGCTGAGGCAGGAGAATGGCGTGAACCCAGGAGACGGAGCTTGCAGTGAGCCGTGATCATGCCACTGCACTCCAGCCTGGGCGACAGAGTGAGACTCCATCTCAAAAAAAAAAAAAAAAATTCTTGGAAGTTAAAAATCTTTACCTTTAAAGGCTGGCACTTTAGCATTTCTCCAAGTATATGCCTCACAACCCTAATTTCATGACACTCCATAAAAAGTAAATTTTTAAAAGGTCTTCCATGGTCAGCTTGGTTTGGAAAATGCTGCGTGCTATACCCTCATTCTAGAGATTCACATGCATATACATAATAAAGGCTCTCAGAGGCAGTCCAATTTTGTATAACTCATAAGTATTCTACCTTCCACACTTCAGGAAACTCTCATTTAGTAAAATGTAGCTAACTGAAAATAGGCTTTGGCAAATGGGTCTCCATATACACCCAAAGGAACTGAAGGGTTGAGAAAGGTACTATGTACAACCCAAAATAGATGGTAGACACCAAAATCCCTTTTTAAAGTTCTATGTGGGCCAAGTCTCCTGTGAAAACCTGCATTGTTCTTCAAATTAGAAAACATTGCCAGATGAGCTTGAGACAGTATATACTACCTCCTTCCCCTTGTTTTAGAAATGTAAAATGAAGCCCAGTGAAATGAAATGATTTGTCTAAGATCATGTGGGTAGTTAAATGTATTGTTTGTCCGTTATTGACAAAGCCTACAATTTTAAGCTTGCTATTGCACAGACGACCTCCCACTACCACCTTTATCTCATACCCCACACACCCAAGGGAACACCTTCCAGAAATTACGAGCATTAGAATTCCACTGGTATTTTTACTTTTGCATTATTAAAAAAAAACAGCTTTGAGCTATAACTCACATACAATACAATCTTCTCATTTGAAGTGTGCATTTGAATGGCTTTTAGTATATTCACAGATATGTGCAACCATCACCGTCAATTTTAAAACATTTTTATCATCTGAAAAGAAAAACTCATACATGTTAGCTATCATCCTCCATTCATCCCTGAGCAAGCACTAATCTACTTTCTGTCTCTATAGATTTCTCTATTCTGGACTTTCTTATGAGTGGGATCATACAATATGAAGTCTTTTGTTACTGTATTCTTTCACTTAGGATAATATTTTCAAGGTTAATTCAAATTATAATGTATCAGTACTCTATTATTTTAAGGGTCGAAAAATATTTAATTGTATGGATATGCCACATTTCGTTTATCCATTCATCTGTTGATGGACATTTGGGTTGTTTTCACTTTTGGGCTATGATGAATGATGCTGTTTTAAACATTTGTGTACAAGTTTTAGTGCTGACATATGTTTTCAGTTTTCTTGGTGTATACCTAGGAGTGCAATAGCTGAGTCGTGTTTAATCCTTTAGGGTATCACCAGACTATTTTTCCAAAGTGGCTGAGCCATTTTACATTCCCACGAACAGTGTATGAGGTTTACTATTTTTTCACATCATTGTAATTGCTTAATATCTGACTTCTTGATTCCAGCAATCCTCTTGAGTATAAAGTGCTATTTCATTGTGGTTTTTATTTGCCTTTCCCTGATGGCTAATGATGCCAAGCATCTTTCATGGGCTTATTGGACATTTATATCTCTCCCCTAAATTTCTATTAGATATAAATCCCTTATCACATGTATAATTTACAAATATTTTTGTCCCATTATGTGAGCCTTTTCACTTTTTTGAAGGTGTCCTTTGAAGCATAAAGGTTTTAAATTTTGATAACATTCAAAGTATTTTTTTATTCTTTTTTTGTGCTTTTGGTGTCATATCCAATAATCCTTTGCCAAATCCAAGATTAAGAAGATTTATATCTTTATGCATTCTTCTGAGAGTTTTATAATTTTAGCTCTTACCTGTGGGTTTTTATCCATTTTTAGTTAATTCTTGTATATGATGCTTGATAAGTATCCAACTTCAATCTTGCATGTGAATATTTAATTGTCCCTTACTAAACAATTGGGACCATATTGAAAATCAGTTGAAGATAGATATATAGGTTTATTTCTGGACTCTCATTGTTTCTGTTCCATTTACTTATATATCTATCCTTGTGTCAGTATCACACTTTCTTCATTACTATTTCTTTCTACTAAGTTTTGAAGTCAGAAGTACAATCCTCCAACTTTGTTCTCCTTCAGGATGGTAGCTATTTAGAGTCTCTTGCAATTCCATATATATTTTAGAATCAGCCTGTCAATTTCTTCAAAGAAATCAGCTGGGATACTAACAGGGATTGCACTCAACCTATAGACTAGTTTAGGGAGTATTGCCATCTTAACAATATTAAGTCTTCTGACCTATGAATATGTAATACTTTCCCATCTATTTTAATTTTCTTTCAATAATTATTTTATAGTTTTCAAGACATAAGTTTTGTACTCCTTTTGTTAAATCTATTCCTAAGTTCATTTTTTATAATACTATCATGAATGAAATTTTTCTCTTATTTTTAATTTGTTCATTGCAAGTACAGAGAACTACAATTGATTTTGGTATATTGATTTTGTATTCTGGAGACTTGCTGAACTCATTTATTAGTTCTAATAATTTTTTAGTGGATTCCATAGGACTTTCCATATACAGGAATATATCATCTGTGAATAGAATTACTTTAACTTCTTTCTAGTCTGTATGCCTTTTATTACTTTTTCTTGTCTAATTACTTTAGCCAGAACCTTCAGTACAGTGTTGAATGGAAGTAGTGGGAGTGCACATCGTTGTCTTGGTCCTGATCTTAAGGAAAATCATCCAGTCTCTCACCAATACGTGTGATGTTAGTGGTGGTTTTTTCATTGATGACTTTTTATCAGACTGCGGAAGTTTCCTTCTATTTTTGTTAAGTATTCTTACCAAGAAAAGGTGTTAGGTTTTGTCAGAAGCTTTACATGTGTCAATTGAGACAATTATGTGATTTTTGTTTTTATTTATATTGATGTAATATATTACATTAATTGATTTTTGGATATTAAACCAACTTTGCCACCCCTGGAATAAAACTCAATTAATTAAACATGATATATAATTATTTTTATATGTTGCTAGATTCAGTTTTCAAGCATTTTATTGAGGACTTTTGAATTTACATTCATAAGAGATACTAGTCTGTAGTTTTACTTGCTTGTGATGTTTTGTCTGCTTTTGGTATCTGAGTAACACTGGCCTCATAGAATGAGTGCAAAAGTATTTTCTTTTTACTTTTGGGAAGAGTTTGTGAATAATTGGTATTTATTCTTCATTAAATATTTGGTAGAATTCAACAGTGAAGCCATCTGGGTCTGGCATTTTCTTTGCAAGTAGTTTTTTGGCTTCTAATTCTAATCTCTCCAGTTGACACAATCTATTTATATTATATATTTCTTCTTGAGTCAGTTTCAGTGGTTTGTGTCTTTCCAGTGATTTTCCAAATTTATCTAAGTTATAAATTATCTAACTTATTGGTGTGCATTTGTAAAAATATTCCTTTATTTTTCTTTCTTTAAGGTGAGTAGTAATACCATATCTTGCATTTCTGATTCTACTAATTTGAGTCTACTATCTTTTCTTCTTGGTCATTCTATCTAAAGTTTGTCTTCTTTTTTTAATCTTTTCAAAGAACTAGCTTTGGGAGTCTTTTTTTTATTCCTTATTTTATTAATTTCTGTTGACACTTGACCATAGAACAACATGGATTAAACTATGTGGGGCGACTTTTATGTAGATTTTCTTCCACCTCTGCCAGCCCCCCAAGACAACCCCTTGTCTTCCTCCTCCCCTCAGCCTACTCAATGTGAAGATGACAAGGATAAAGACCTTTATGATGATCCATTTCACTTAATAAATAGTAAACATATCCCATCTTTCTTAAAAGTTTTCAATAATATTTTATTTTCTCTAGCTTACTTTATTGTAAGAATACAGTATACAATACACATACAGAATGTGTTAATTGTTTATGTTATTAGTAAGGCTTTTGGTTGACAGTAGGCTATTAGTAGTTAAGTTTTAGAGGATTCGAAGTTATGCGTGAATTTTTTTATTGCATGGGGGTTGGTAAACCTAACCTCCACATTGTTCAAGGGTCAACTACAATCTTTACTATTTCCTTCCTTCAGCTTGCTTTAGATTTAATTTGCTCTTCTTTTCCCAGGATCTTATGATGAAGGTTGGGTTATTAATTTGAAATATTTTTTTCAAATACAGCTATTTATAGCTATAAACTTTTCTATAAGCATGACCTTAGCTGGATTCCATAAGTTTAGTATGTTATGTCTTAATTTTCATTCATCTCAAAGTGTTTTCTGTTTTCCTTTTTTAAAAAATGTATCCATTTGTTATTGAGTATTGTGCTGGTTAATTTTGACATATTTGTGAGTTCCCAAATTTTTTCCTAATATTTATTTTTCATTCCATTTCATTGTAGTTGGAACACATACTTTGTATTATTTCTATTCAATCAAAAATATTGAAGTTTTTTTTTAATGGCTTAGCATATGGTCTATCCTGGAGAATGTTCCATGTGAACTTAAGAAGAATGTGTATCTCCTATTGTTGAATTAACTCTTCTATATACATGTCTGTTAGGTCTAGTTGATTTATAACATTGCTCAAGTCTTTTATATACTTGATATTCTGTCTAGATTGATAGTTTAGGGTACATGTGCACATTGTGCAGGTTAGTTACATATGTATACATGTGCCATGCTGCTGTGCTGCACCCACTAACTCGTCATCTAGCATTAGGTATATCTCCCAATGCTATCCCTCCCCCATCCTCCCACCCCACAACAGTCCCCAGAGTGTGATGTTCCCCTTCCTGTGTCCATGTGATCTCATTGTTCAATTCCCACCTATGAGTGAGAATATGCGGTGTTTGGTTTTTTGTTCTTGCGATAGTTTACTGAGAATGATGGTTTCCAATTTCATCCATGTCCATACAAAGGACATGAACGCATCATTTTTTATGTCTGCATAGTATTCCATGGTGTATATGTGTCACATTTTCTTAATCCAGTCTATCACTGATGGACATTTGGGTTGGTTCCAAGTCTTTGCTATTGTGAATAGTGCCACAATAAACATATGTGTGCATGTGTCTTGATAGCAGTATGATTTATAATCCTTTGGGTATATACCCAGTAATGAGATGGCTGGGTCAAATGGTATTTCTAGTTCTAGATCCCTGAGGAATCACCACACTGTCTTCCACAATGGTTGAACTAGTTTACAGTCCCACCAACAGTGTAAAAGCATTCCTATTTCTCCACATCCTCTCCAGCACCTGTTGTTTCCTGACTTTTTAATGATCGCCATTTTAACTGGTGTGAGATGGTATCTCATTGTGGTTTCGATTTGCATTTCTCTGATGGCCAGTGATGATGAGCATTTCTTCTTGTGTCTGTTGGCTGCATAAATGTCTTCTTTTGAGAAGTGTCTGTTCATATCCTTTGCCCACTTTTTGATGGGGTTGATTTTTTCTTGTAAATTTGTTTAAGTTCTTGGTAGATTCTGGATATTAGCACTTTATCAGATGGGTAGATTGTAAAAATTTTCTCCCATTCTGTAGGTTGCCTGTTCACTCTGATGGTAGTTTCTTTTGCTATGCAGAAGCTCTTTAGTCTAATTAGATCCCATTTGTCAATTTTGGCTTTTGTTGCCATCGCTTTTGGTGTTTTAGTCATGAAGCCCTTGCCCATGCCTGTGGTCTTAATGGTATTGCCTAGGTTTCCTTCTAGGGTTTTTAGGTTTTACATCTAACATTTAAGCCTTTAATCCATCTTGAATTAACTTTTGTATAAGGTGTAAGGAAGGAATCCAGTTTCAGCTTTCTACATATGGCTAGCCAATTTTCCCAGTACCATTTATTAAATAGGGAATCCTTTCCCCATTGCTTTTTTTTGTCAGGTTTGTCAAAGATCAGATGGTTGTAGATGTATGGTATTATTTCTGAGGGCTCTGTTATGTTCCATTGGTCTATATCTCTGTTTTGGTATCAGTACCGTGCTGTTTTGGTTATTGTAGCCTTATAGTATAGTTTGAAGTCAGGTAGTGTGATGCCTCCAGCTTTGTTCCTTTTGCTTAGGATTGTTTTGGCAATGAGGGCTCTTTTTTGGTTCCATATGAACTTTAAAGTAGTTTTTTCCAATTCTGTGAAGAAAGTCATTGGTAGCTTGATGGGGATGGCATTGAATCTATAAATTACCTCGGGCAGCATGGCCATTTTGATGATATTGATTCTTTCTATGTATGAGCATGGAATGTTCTTCCATTTGTTTGTGTCCTCTTTATTTCGTTGAGCAGTGGTTTGTAGTTAAGTGGTTTGTAGCTTGAGATCTTATAACTTCACTCTCCTGACATGGATTCACTGCCTCATGAACTGGGACAAGAGCTATCAGAGACCCATATTCTCAACAGGTCATGGTCAAGGTAGAGCCTTGCTTGCACAACTGTGGCTTGGTCAGAAGAAGGGGACCCCAACCTGTTAAATGCTGTTGCACAGGACTTAGCCTCAGCAACGGGCAGCTGGGATAAGGATGAGAAATGCTGAAGTCCTCCTTATCTTGGGAAGAAAGTCCTATAGTTAGGAGCTAGGGAAGAGGGAACTCTGTGTTCTTTACTGCAGCAGTCTGGAGTGGGGTCTCCACCCGCTCTGAGATGAGAGGAGAGGGAGCAAGCGGTCTTGGTTCAAATACCACAAACTTGCCTTTTTTTTTTTTTTTTTTTTTTTTTTTACTGAGTTTTAATAAATGTTCTTGAATAAATGTGTTCTTATTTACTCTTTTGCCCTTAGGACCATTTCAAGAAACTCTGAATAGTTTTTGTTTGGTTTTTATAATTTTTATCAGTTTCACCGTGGAACAGGACAGCAGAGCTCCTTAAACTGTCATGCTGGAAGTCAATTCCACAACTATGTTTTTGACCAGGCAAAGCAGAGAGTAAGTGGGTTGTGGTTGAAAGAAGCAAAGCAGTTAGGTACCCAGGATTATCATCTTTGAAGTTCTTGGTGTGCCCTTGAACAAAAGAGAACAGTTGGGCAAGCCAGGAGGAAATAAATGTTATTGCAATGAAGTTACTTATCCCATTTTTTACTTTAATGTGTCCCATGTGCATTATTAGTGTTAAATAATTCAGTATGCATGTCCTAAATACTGGTCTGGTGAATGGTAATGGCTCTATCACCTGCAAAATAAGGCCAATAACTGTTCTTTTTGGCAGACATAACAGTTTCTTAAACAGTGTGACATGGTGAGCAAAACATCGAAATAAAATTACAACTGAAAAGATGCTTTCCAGTGCTCCTTTGATTTATTAGATTAAAGGGAAAGAAGAGATTTATTTTCTTCTGAGCAGGATAGAAACAAAAATGACCTTTTCCCTGAGTATTTACAGTCCTGAACATTGACTGAAGTAATTTCACCAACAGAGTGCATGCAGTTGTGCCAAACGGAAAACAAGCCAAAAGTTATATCAAAGTCCTGAGTTCAGCATCTTCACAGCAAATCACTGAGACCCTAAACAAAGCAGTACATCATCCAGAACATGTAACTACAGGCAACACATCTTTACTAAACACTTAAACAGTGTATACAGCCACTTGCTGGGATTTAAGAGCCAAGGATGCAGCCCTGACACATAGACTCTTTTAATGCAGCTAAAGACACACATGCACAAACACAGAAAAATAGAATAAGGCTTTTCAAGTTGTCACGTGATAACATAAGGATAGGATGGGCAGAGCAATATTTGAGTCCTCAGAAGTTCTTTAAAAGAAGAGGTAACTACACTTGAATAAACAAAGGATGGGGAACTTCCTTTAAAGGGTGAGGCATGTGCTGGGTATAAAAAAGGATTTAAATATATGGTAGTAAGAGAGAAGCCATAGTTGGTAGAAAGAACTTCTGGAGAACTAGTCAAACAGGAGCAAATCAAAGAAATTGTTCTTGTTCCTGAAGGAAATAATATTTTCTCTGAATTATCTATTTTATTTCTAGAAATGTGCCAAGTACAGTGCTTGAGTAGGGGAGAGGGTAGTTGAAGCATTTCCATGTCAGATCTTTACATTCAAGATAATACAGCAAGAAATAATGCAGTTCTTTTAAAAATTTGTGGAGGTTTAGGTAGAAAGAAACAAAATGTGGTACAGAGAAACTTAGTGACGTAAAATAAACGGCTTCTCAAATCTCCGTAAACTGAATATAGACTCTGCCTTAGTTTGCAATTGAGAAATAATGTATTTCAGCAAATAATTGATTATTTATTTATTTGTTTTTATTGCCTGCAGTATGGACTAGCTCAGATCACACTATGCTTAGAGGGTCTTTGGATTCAACATCCTATGTTTCTGACTTACTTAAACATGGTGTTAACTTAGTCTTTTATGCATAAAAGCAAATAGGCTCCAATTAGATATAAATAACTTTTCCTAGAATTAACTTGAATTTATCATCTTGTTTGTTGGTCTTCAACTCGTCTTTCTTTTAAAGAAAGAAAATAGCAAATGAATAAAGGACTGAGTATAAATAATAAATATTACCAAAATGTTTTAAATAACCTATCTCCCCATTTATTGTATTTTTCTAACTCTTCATTTAAGGTGAGCAGTCCACCAGCTACTGATACATGGCTCATCTAATTTTATTTTTGCATCACTCTGTTAAGCTGTCTTCCTTCCAATAATCATTATGGTATAAGTAACACTCCCAGAGAAATCAATTTATCAATTTTTTTGTACTAAATAGAGAAGCCCATTTACCTCCCCGGAATCATAATTGGGGCTTTGTTTATTTTGCTGTAGTTTGAACTCTATAACAGCCCCCTTCTTGTTTTTACCTAAGTTGAGTAGCTTGTCTCCTACACCCTCCAGGGAAGGTTGGCCAGCCTCGAGGAATGTCCCTCACCAGTAGGGAATAATTAGAACCATTTAGAAATCAGAAGTACATTTCAGAGCAACTGGGTGAATGTCATTTTCCTAAAGATTGTTTAAAGGAGGAGACCCTTAAGCCCCTGAGGGATAAAGTATCTTATTTTCTCTCCACTAAGAAAGATGTAAAGCTACAAAAGTCATTCAGATTTGTAGGAGCATAGGTCTGAAACTGTTATGCATGTCTTAAACCTCAAGAGATATCTTTGAATAAATGAAATTAATGACTTGCACTAAATTCAATAGATGAGTTGAACTGAATTGGATTGTATTGAACTAAATTAAATTTACTTCTCTAGGCTGACAGAATGGCTATCATGAGAGCAGAATGAAGGCCAGAGTATTCCATTCACCAGATAATCAAGGCCAGAACTTGGAATGATCAGGGAGTCCAGGCCTTCCTGGCTATTGAGGACACTGAGATTAAGCGATTTACCCCAGGACAGATAGCAAAATGGGAGCAGAGCAGAGATTCCACACATGATAACAATACAGGCAAATAACTGGGCTCACCCATGTTAAGTATGTACTGTGTGTCAGGCACAGCTCTAAGTGCTTTCTTGTACTACCTTATTTATTCCTCCTAGCAAAACATCAGGGCAGACCCCTCTATTATCCTCTTTCTCAGAAAAAGCTACTGAGGCACAAAGTAATTAAGTAACTTGCCTAAGTGGTACATCCAGGATTTGAACCCAGGAAGTAAGATCTCAAGACATTTATCATATCCATTTAAAGACGTCACAGTCCTTTGAGAAAGAGAGTTTATAACATAGCACAAATAAGATTTAAAACAAAACAAAATAAAACATGTTAAGGAAATTGAGAAATAGAAAAATTTTCTCCCTCTGAAAAACCTGAAATTATAAATTGTCCTAATTTCCTGAACTCAAACATTTTAAAATAATCAAGTTTTACAACTCTAAGTTTCCTGAAGTTCAACCTCAGTAGGGTCTGCCAGACCATATGGTACAGAATTTTGAAGGCGCGTCAGGATTCTAATTTATGAGAATACTATATAAACTAAAGGTTTTTGAGATAACACATTATCTCATATTTATATTTATGTATCCTTTATATTTGAAAACACAGCTCTATAATGTTGAAAATGTTCAGTTAGTATCTTGAGATTTGGAGCCCCCAGTCAGTGATGGACACCATGCTACATCTTCAGCTCCAGAATGACCAGGAATCCTAACACTGTGTTATTTCCCTGTCTTGTACACAAAAAGGCCCATCTGTCTCTGGATCTGCTGCTCACATCAGTGAGGACTGATTGAGTGCTTCCAATAGCCCTGCACACAGAGAAGCACTTATCATCCTATCAGAATCAGAAATACACAAATGATTCTGATTATTGACTATTCTAGTACTGAAGATCTGCATTCCATAGAGTTCTGAGCACATGGAAGTCATCCTGTGGATGGGTTAATTAGCAGCCCCTACTGACTAGAAACTAAATAGAAATCAGGCTATCTGGCCTGGCTGTGAGGGCAGGGAGGCAAGGGATGACTCAGAATCAATAGGTGTTGATGGGTGACGTGAGGTGTGAGGAACAGGGCAGCTTCAAGGAAAACACCCAACTGTGACATGAGCAATTCAGTGGAAGGCAGTGGTATTTACTGGGCTGTGTGAGGAGCAAGACAGGCAGGGGAAAGAGATAGTGAAAACAAAAGTACCATTTGGGACATAAATTTTAAATGAATTTGAAACATATAACTGAAAAAAAAAAAAACAAGAAAACAGATAAACAATCTGGATGATTCATATGCTTTAACGACCTTCAAAGATGAGGATGTGAAATTAGGATTGTGAGAAAATAATAGAGTGATGTTAAATTTTCTGGTCTAAAATTTCTAAAATCTGTTTTCTACCTTCTGAAAAATTGAACCATTACATGTTATTCTCCTGTCTTCTGATATCAGTTCTATTTTTCGTCATTCTTCAAAGATTAAGGAGTTTCCTATCCACATGTCCGAGTTTTTCCAGAGCTTTGAGATGCCACTCATCTGTGTCTGAATCAGAGACTCATTTAAAGCAGCTAGCTGTTTCTGTCCTCTCTTCTCCCACATATTGAACTTCATTTTTATAGAAAAAAAAAAAAGACTATTCAACACCTTCCTGGACAATTCTCCCTGCTTAAGAAGGTAGAAGTCAAACAGAAGACAGGTACTTTAGTGTTGTTATCTGTGAGTGTTACAGTAGCAGCAGGCTGATCATCCCTTGCTTTTCTTCTTGACCTGAATAAAGATGAAAAGTCAGCTTTGTAGGTGTTAGCATTTTTTTTTTTCCAGGCCACAGCTCACTGTAAGGTTTAGGTTCCTGTTACTCTTTTGTCTTTACTCTTAATATTATGTTCCTTTATTTTGTGCATGGTATAGCTTTCTTAGTAAAATCTTTTTCAAGCTTTTTTCTCAGTATTGCTCAATTTGTGTGTGTGATATCAGTTATAAATGCTTATAATTTTACTTTATTAGTTTAAGAAAATCCTCCCATTCATTCACTCATTTATTCAACAAGTGTCTGTTCAGTATGCACTGAGGCAGTCACTGTGAAGCACAGAAAAACTAACCAGACAGAGATTTGAGTTCAAGCATAAATTGGCTGGGCACGGTGGATCATGCCTGCAATCCTAGCACTTGGGAGGCTGAGGCAGGTGGATCACTTCAGATCAGGAGTTCAAGACCAGCCTGGCCAACATGGTGAAACCCCATCTCTACTAAAAATAGAAAAATTAGCCAGGTATCATGTAATCCCAGCTACTTGGGAGGCTGAGGCCTGAGAATTGCTTGAACCTGGGAAGCAGAGGTTGCGGTGAGTGGAGATTGCGCCACTGCACTCCAGCCTAGGGAACAGAGTAAGACTCCGTCTCAAAAAAAAAAAAGAAGAAGAAGAAGAAGAAGAAGAAGAAGAAGAAGAAGAAGAAGAAGAAGAAGAAGAAGAAGAAGAAGAGGAAGAAGAAGAAGAAGAAGAAGAAGAAGAAGAAGAAGAAGAAGAAGAAGAAGAAGAAGAAGAAGAAGAAGAAGAAGAAAGAAGAAGAAGAAATCATGCACAAATCAATGTGCCACAAGAGATACACAAGTCTTAGGGGAATTCAGACAAGACAGGTAGCAGAGGCAGGATTGGCAAGATGAGAGTGTGTATCAGAGAAGGAAAGCTTCATCGTGCGGATGTCAGTAGACCTGTGCCTTGGATGATTTAGATAAGGGAAGAGATGTATTTGTGTGTACATGGGGTGTGTGTGTGTGTGTGTGTGTGTGTGTATTGTGGTGGTCATTGAGAAAGAAACAGGGTATTTCAGAAGAAGGAAAGAAAGGACACGTTCAATTTCTTTTTCCTTTTTCTCCATGATGCACTTTTCTTGCTACTTCTCATCTACTCTTTTATATGCTCAGATATTTCACTTATTTTGCTACTGGAAGAATCTTTTTCTGTTTTTCTTTTTTTTTTTTTCTTAGACAAAGTCTTGCTCTGTTGTCCAGGGTGGAGTGCAGTGGTACAATCTCAGTTCACTGCAATCTCTGCCTCCCAGGTTCAAGCGATTCTCCTGCCTCAGCCTCCCAAGTAGCTGGGATTACAGGTGCACACCACCACGCCCAGCTAATTTTTGTATTTTTAGTAGAGACGGGGTTTCGCCATGTTGGCCAGGCCGGTCTCAAACTCCTGACCTCAGGTGATCCACCAGCCTCGGTCTCCCAAACGGCTGGGATTTCAGGCATGAGCCACTGCACCTGAGTCTTTCATCCAAGGTTATTATTCTATCTTTCCCACATGCCTCCCTTTCTTTCCACTGAGTTTTCCCAAATCCCTCCTTGGTTGCCCACTCTTTCTCTACCAGCTTACAGAAGTGAATACTCTTTCTGTCTGATGAATTTAGGAAGCAGAGATATTGCATGGATGGTTCCTTGTGAGGGAGGCCTGCAAACCATCTCTGTAACTTTCACATTCTATCTTGAGAGGTGTGTCCTAGGACAAGGAGTGAGCCCAAGATTAGAAGTGAAAAGACCTGGGCTGTGGTTGCAGTACGAAGAGCACATCATTACATAACCTAAGAAAAGCATCTAATTCTCTGGGCTTCAGTTTATTCCTCTATACAGTGACAGAATTGAACATAGTGATCCCCAGTCCCTTCCAATCCCACTAAACAGAAGGAAAACTTGAGCCCTGAAAATTACTATAACTGAGGTCATTCAACCATTTGATATTACCATCAGCTTCATGTCTAGTTTACTCTTCTCTTGCTATTACTTGAATATGTCCCCCAAAGTTTATGTGTTGGAAACTTAATCCCCAGTGCAACAATGGTATAAAGTGGGGCCTAATGGGAAGTGTCTAGGTCATGAGGGCAGAGAACCCTCATAAATGGATTAATATTGTTATATTATGCATTATTGCAGGAATGGTGTTTGTTATCAAAGTGAGTTCAATCCCTTCTTGCCCCCTCTCTCTCTCCCCCCCTCTTCCTTTTGTGTGTGCACGCGCATGTGCTCTCTTGCCTTTCCACCCTCCCCCATGGGATAAGGAAGCACAAAGGCCCTTGACAGACATGGGACCCTCACTCTTGGACTTTTCAGCTTCCAAAACTGTAACAAATAAACCTCTGTTCTTTTTAAATTACCCAGTCTCAGATATTCTGTTATAACACCACAAAAGAGATTAAGACACCTTCCCAACTTACCATTCCACGGATCCTTTACTGCTTTGTCATTTGTGATTCTAGGAATCCCACATGGGTAGTGGAAATTCTGCTTCTCCTACCAGACTCTTTCTTCTGGCTTGTTATGATTAAGCGGCAGCAGGAGTAAGCTAGAAGACCCAGTGTCTATTTATGGACAGTTTGCCCTCTAGACCCTGCTCCAGGAGGAGAAATAGCAGAGGTTCACTGAACTCATCAGCCATCCACAGTTTCCTAGTCTTTAGGTCTGTTAGCAACTGACATTTCATCTGTACCACGACAGCTAGTGGCAAGACTGTGGAGTTAGGAACACCTCAAATTTAAGTGTATAGCTGGTCCTGGCTTTCCTTATCTAAGTCCAATATTTACAAACAACAACAGTCCTGCAAATTCGAGGCAGTGATGGATTTTAGATTCCTCAGGTAATTGGATGTTATTTCCTAAGGCAAGAAGAAAGCAGAGACTGTATATCATCAATTCATTCGTGAATTCAACAAATACTTATTGATTGCCTACTGTGTGCGAGACAGTGCTCTATATGCTGGAGATGCAGCAGAGAACAGAACTGACTGCAGGAAGAGGTGATCAGCTCTCATGGACTTTATATTCTATAGCAGATGACTGATAATGAACACAAAAAATAGGTAATAAGATATATAATATGCTAGATCAAGTGTTCAACCTGCAGCTCACAGGCTGCATGAGGCCCAGGATGGCTTTGAATGCAGCCCAACACAAACTTGTAAACTTTCTTAAAACATTATGAGATTTTTTTGTGATTTTTTTTTTAGCTCACCAGCTATTGTTAATGTTAGTGTAGTTTACGTGTGGCCCAAGACAATTCCTCTTGTTCCAATGCAATCCAAGAAAGCCAAAAGATTGAGCATCCCTATGCTAGATGATGATGTATGCTACTAAAAAAGTAACGAAACAAAGAAAGGCAATAGGGAGGATCAGACATGGTAGATACACTGTCCAGGAAGCCCATCAGAAAAAGAACCAATTGAGTAAAGACTATATATGTTGAAGGACCAAACCATGTGGGTATCCGAGGGATGACAAACAAGCAAGAGCAGTGACTCTGGGACAGGAACACATCTGTTTGTACAAGGAACAACAAACAAGTTAGTGACAGGTGACAGGAATGGATGAGTGGACAGGGATTAGTGTAAGATAAGGTCAGAGAGTAACAGAGAAGGTTGCATGTAATGAGGGGCCAGTGGACCCCTGTAAGGACACCAGTTTTCTTTCAGGATGAGGCAAGAAGCAATTGAAAGGATGTGATCTGATTAAAGCTTTAAGAAAATTACTGTTGACTAAAGGAGGTCAAAGGAGAAACAGGAAGATGATTTAGGAGACTATTAAAATAATCCATTTGAGAGGAGTTGATGGATCACATACATGTGGTAACAGAGAAGGTGATGAGAAGGGGTCGGATTCTGGGCATAGTTTGAAGGTTGTGACAACAAGACTACTGACAAGTCTAATTGGGGACATGAGAGAAAATAGTGTCAAAATTGTTATAGGGTTATAAACCTGAACAATTGAAAAAAAAATGGAGCTACAGTTTCCCAGGTTGAGAAAAGAACACAGGAGAAACAAGGCAGGGAGGATGAAGATCATGAGATAGGCGTAAAACTAGGAAAGACAGCTCTTTATACTTTTAAAAATAATTCTATAGCCTAAAGATTGTGATTTGGATATGAATGTAATATTAATTATATTTTTGTTTTCTGATACCACCTAGGATAAACTTTTGCCCATCCCTTGCCCTTAGAATACTACACTAAAAACTTACACTTAAAGAAAACTCGGCCGGGTGTGGTGGCTCATGGCTGTAATCCCAGCACTTTGAGAGGCCGAGGTGGGTGGATCACGAGGTCAGGAGTTCAAGATCAGCCTGGCCAAGATAGTGAAACCCCTTCTCTACTTAAAAAAAAAAAAAAAATTAGCCGGACGTGGTGGTGGGTGCCTGTAATCCCAGCTACTCGGGAGGCTGAGACAGAGAATTGCCTAAACCCGGGAGGTGCAGGAGGTGGAGGATGCAGTGAGCCGAGATCATGCCACTGCACTCCAGCCTGGGTGATAGAGCGAAATTCCGTCTCAAAAAAAAAAAGAAAGAAAAACTCAAGAGCTCTTGAAGAGTTACATTATACCTCAGTAATAGCTTTAAAAAACCCTCCTAATAGCTAAGCAAGATCCCTACAGCTACAGACTTAAGCCACATACCCTAGTATGTCTAGTGAAGACGCAAAGAGAACCCTCCCTCCCCTGATGATAACTACTCATTTGATTGTCAACATTCTGCATTGTTCTTCCTTGCTTTGTCCTCTCCCAGTGCTTCTACTGAATCCCTTCTCTCTCTCTCCCCTGGGGAGAAACACTGAATGGAAGTCTCTGTTATCTGAATCTTGCATGAAGGGCATGATTCCTTTTATTTTAAAGTTGTATTTTATTTTTAATTGACAAACAATCATTATATAAATGTATGGGGAACAATGTGAGGCTTCAATACATGTATACACTGTGGAATTATCAAATCAAGCTAATTAACATATTCATCACCTCAAATATTTGCCATTTCTTTGTGATGAGAACATTTGATTATTTTTTTAAAATTTGAGACAGGGTCTCACCCTGTCATCCAGGCTGGAGTGCAGTGATGCGATCATGGCTCACTGCAACCTGAACCTCCTGGGCTCAAGCGATACTCCTACCTCAGCCTCCCTAGTAGCTGGTACTACCAGCGTGAGCCACCGTGCCTGGCTAATTATTGCATTTCTTGTAGAGACAGGGTTTTGCCATGTTGCCCAGACTGGTCTCGAGCAATCTGCCCGCCTCAGCCTCCCAAAGTGCTAGGATTATAGATGTGAACCACCGCGCCTGGCTGAAAACATTTTAAATTCTCACTTTTAGCTATTTTGAGACATGAAATCATGATTCCTTTTAAAACAGAGTTTATAGACCTGATAGGGAAAATAGACTCTATATGACTCAGGTATATAAGTCTCTTAAATTCTTTATGCCTTGGATGTTTCTCATCTCAAACCAAAATGTGGAGGAAAGGAAGGAAGGAGGCGAGGAAGGATAAAGGAAAGGAGGGAGGGAGGAAAGCAAGGGAAGAGGAACACTACAGTTCTTGGAGAAGAGGATGATAGAGGGCTAGGCAGATAGACTCCAGTATATCTTCATAACCATAAGACACCCTTCATTTAATAAATGTAGAAGTTGAGATTTAGAAAGGTGACATGACCTTCCCAAAGACAGAGTCAGGATTTGGCAAGGCCAAGAATGGAACCCAAGATCCTGGGTGTTAATCTTAGCAGAAGTGAGCCAGCCCTCTTCACCAGGAGGGACTTTAAAAGTGAGGCAGAGAATAATAGCTTCCATATAATAGACAATGGAAAGCTATTGCACACCCTGGAGTAGGAGTTGGAAATCATGTTTCTGGAGTGTTCTCTTGAAGGTAAGTGTCCAAGACAAATTGGAAAAGGGAGAGACTTGTAACAGGGAGGAGACAGAATGCAGGCCATTATGGTTAGTCATGAGGTATACAACACTCTCAGCCAGGATAAAACTAGAAATGAGGAAGAAAGAGTGTATCCAAGACACAATTTCAAGGAAGAAGTGATCAGACTTTTGGGTAATGAGAATTGAGAGCAAGAGACAAGTGTAAGAAGACCCCGACTGTAGTAACCATGGAAGCTGGTTCACTGTTTCATAAGCTTGTTGTCACTCCGTGAATCCATTCATAGAGAAGGCTAGAGCCATCCCCCCTCTATGCATTAGGAAGATGACAGTTCTGTCAGCAAAATCAGTAAGGCTCCAGCTCATTCCCGTGTAAGCCAAGAATATGCCCGTGTAGGTCTGTCAGTCTGTTTTCAGCTCTTTCTTTCCATCATGAAAGTACAAAGGAAAATGCTCAGAACATGCTTTAGGCAAAGCATATTTTATCCTAAAGTTGAGAAAGGAAAAGTTCACCTCTCTCACCACCAATGCCAGGATTTGGAAAGCACCAAAAAGTGGATAAAAGAAAATAAGCTACAGCAAGGGCTCTGATTCTTTAGTTATGAGCAATTTGTAGTGGCATGCATGTTGCCTGACTGAGCGGTTATCAGGAGGTAAATACAAAAGGAGATTTTATTGAAGTGCTTTGGATGACAATTTTCTCAAATAAATAAATAACTGGAAAAACATCCTGTCAAAAGAAAGGGTGTTTGTTTATTTTTGTCCTGAAGATACAGATCACGAAAGGATGAGGCAGAGAAGAAACACTACCTTATGGATATTTTTCTTAAGGAAAAAAAAAAATCTTTGCTATTAAAAATGAAAGACTCAGGGACTTTGATGCGGTGGCAACCAGTTTTTGGGTGACAAACTCCGATGTTGGAGTTAAGGTTGCTATGCACACAGCTCTTCCTTGAGCTGCTGTCTATATAAGCACCAAGGTATCCAGAATGACAACTGCAAGGCAAAGGAAGTCATTAAGTCATATAGAAGTCTGTCACTGATACACAGAACCTCAGCTAGGTATGGGAAAGCCCCTAAAGAATACCTGGAATCTAGTAGACACCTAATAAACAATTAACCCACTTCCCACACTGCTTTCAACTCTAGAGATGCACAGGACTAGGGACTTTTAGAGACATCAATACAGGCCAGATTTCTGTTCCTGAGAGCTCTTTTAATTCATAATAGCTACCATTTACAGGGTACTTTACAGTTTACAAAACACTTTGGCATTATCTTATTTGGTTCCACAAAGGAAAATAGAGGTTATTATTTTGTACTGAAGAGAACACTGAAGGTCAGGGAGGTTAAATGACTTGCCCAAATGTATGCACTTCATAAATAATGAAATAGATTCTGATCCAAAGTTGTCAAACTTTGAAGCCCAAAGGTAGGTTATGGAAATCACTCAGCAGTGTCTGGCACATAGAAGCTGCTCAATAAGTGGCAGCACATTATTCCCTAACACACAATAACTTCACTGACCACATATTATCCAAAACAGCTTGTCACGTGGTTTAGCAATTTTTCTTTCAAAGGATGACCATGTTAGGTGAATAATTTGGTTTATCATCACTTGCTATCTGAAAGTCTCTACAGGACTTCTAATTCCTGATAATTTATTAAGCTATGAAGAAAAACCCCAAATCACTAGTGTTCTCCTGGTATATCACAATGCATCTTACTCTCATATTCTAATATTTGTTCAACCTGTACGGATATAATATTGGTTTACACCTAAAAATATGAAAGCAAAGTGGAAAAGAAGCAGAGATATACTCAGCATCTACTACAGGTCAGCAAATGTGGTAAGCTCTTTTAAAACAACTTTTCAAAGAGCTGGCCTTGTAGCCTCTTTTCCTGGAAGAGAGTGAGGCCAGAGAGGTTGTATAATATGTCCAAAGTATAATTGGTATGATAATGAGCCAGGATTTGAACCCAGAAAGTGTGTCTAGCTCCAGGTCTGCCCTATTTCAACTAGAGCACAATATCTCTTGATTCTAGAGATTGCTAGAGTGCTATGGAGTGCAACTTACACCAACAAATTCCAGCTCTTTCAAGGACATAATATTATATCACTGTATCAATACAATTCGAAGTGCTAGATTCTTCCCTGACTTATTTTAAAGTGTCATCCAACTACAAAAGACCATCCTGTCCAGCAACAGAAAGCAGAATTCATCAGTATTATCCACAGGGAAACATAACACATTTTCCTCAAATTTTGATTTATAATGAATTTCACTACCATCCTGACTTAGGAGATGAAATTCTGTACCTAAAGCATAAGGTTGCAACAGTTTCCTTTCCTTTTTGTTTTTTTGTCTGAGATGGAGTCTCACTCTCTTGCCCAGGCTGGAGTGCAGTGGCATGATCTCAGCTCACTGCAACCTTCGCCTCTCTGGCCCCGGCGATTCTCCTGCCTCAGCCTCCTGAGTAGCTGAGATTACAGGCAGGCACCACCATGCCCAGATAATTTTTTGTATTTTTAGTAGAGATGGGGCGTCACCATGTTGGCCAGGTGGGTCTGGTACTCCTAACCTCAAGTGATCCACCTGCCCTGGCCTCCCAAAGTGCTGGGATTACAGGTGTGAGCCACGATGCCCAGCCTCCTCCCACTTTAAAGAGCCGTCATAGAGCCCACTATGTGCCTGCCACTGCCACTTGCTGTACTCACATTCTCTCATTGATTTCTCACGGTAACCCTACAATGTAGAGACTATTATTAGTCCCAGTTTGCAGATGGGCAAACTGAGGTTCAGCCAGGTTGTGCAACATGCTGGCTCACACAGCTCTAAGTGTGAAATCAGACACAAACTCTGAGTCTGGATTCCTTTGTTCGTTTTTGTATTTCTGTCCACTTGTTTTATGTTGAAAATTGCAATCATAACCACTGCAAAGGGAGCGTGTCCAAGGGTGATATATGTTACCTGGGATTTCAGTGGTAATCTGTTCTAAGTGTTTGTATAATATTGGTACAAAAATCCTGCAAGATAATTCAGTGATAACAGATTTTGTCAAAGAAAGCGAAACAAACCAAGGATCTAAAATGCGCCATTGCAAAAAAGGAAAGAAAAAAATTTTTCAGGTGCTGGATAAATTGAATTGATGGGCTTAAAAGGGAAATTAAGAAAATATTTTAGGTTTCCAGCATGTAACTTTCTAGAGAGGAAAAAATGACTAGGATGAAAAAACAAAAACAAAAACAAAAAAAAAACAAAGATGATCCTTCTTGTCTCAGCATTTGGCCAAAGTATGTATTGTTTGCCTATCGAACACTGCTTACCAATATATGTAACCGAAATTTGCCCACACTCACAAGCACAGTAACAAAAAATCACTTTGAAGTAACAGTGAAATACAAAGGCTCTAGCTTCTTGCCTTTGGGGATATTGCCCCACTATCACATTCCCCAATAATATCAGTCTTCATTCTTAAAGGATCTCTGAATTACACTGGAAATTTCCGGGGTCCACGTCATGTGTCCATAAGTAGTCTTATCCTACTCACTGATGTCCACTGCCCATGTAACGTGGAGGTCCCCAAACGCTGGTAGGACCTGGATCCTGTTGGTGTCTAGGCTCTTGACACCATCACAAGAAGGAATGCAAGGACAAGTGGGAAAATAGTGAAAGTACAGACAGTTATTGCAAAGCAAAAAGTACATAGTCAAGAAAGGGGAGTGCAGGTATACTCAAGAGAGGATCCCATGCAAAGGTTTTTGGCTCTTTATGGGTTTCTTTAAAACCAAGGGGTGGAATATTTATAAAGATTTCTGGAAAAAGGTGAAGATTTCTTGGAACTGTGGTGCCACCCACTTTTACACCAAATATGGGTGTTCCTGGAACGGATATGGTGCTGGTGGGTGTGTGATTGGGTATGTTAATGAGCATATAATGAGGTCCTAGGTGAAACCTAAGTCAAATCTAGTATCACATTGGGTCTAGTTGTTCTTGGCCAATGTGACCCACATCCTGGTTTTCAGGGTCTTATCAGCCTCTAGCTTATGCAACTATTTCAGCAGTTTCTTTTTTGCTGGTCATTTGAAACTGCTGCCTGGAATTTTCTATTCTCCCATGACCACCCTGTATTATTCCTGTCTCACATGAAGCCACTTCACATGACACCTCTCCGGTCCCACTGCTGCCATGTGAAAGCCACAGGGGTCCAAAAGCCACTGTTTCTCAAGGTGCAACTAGTGCCGGCACCCCTTTGTGAATGAGCTCACTAGTTGAGTTGAGGAGGGGGAGAAAGCATCTTTTCTCCCCTTTGGCCCCATTCAGCCATCCACTCACAGAAGCCTCTTGCCTTGGCTGTGTCTCTGAAACCTCTGTGCTCCCTCCCCCTCCTTGCTCCTTTCCTCCTTTCCTCCTTGGGAATACATCTCTCAACTCCTGCTGGGAGCCCCTCTTGCAGAATGCTCAGGCACAAGTCCACCACCTTGGAGTGGATAGATACCTTTTTAGCTTTTACTCTTTCCCCCCAACCATCCATCAAATTAACATTTTCAAAGAGATGCCTCAGAGCCATCGGCTACACCTACTCATCAGGTAGGCCCAGACACCTTTAAATCATCTGAATCCCATACACCAGTTTGTAGTTCAGGGCTCAGCAATATTTGCTAAGTGATTAAACTGTGGAGCTCCTTTATAATTCCCTAAAATAATTCTATAATTCTCCTTTATGTTGGGTTTTCTATCCCTTTGCTACAATGGGTGAGCATCACTGTCACGCAAAATCGAGCTTATGGAGGTACATACAAATGATAACATGATCTCAGTGAAACAATTGAAATAATTCCCTTTCAAGAATGGTCAAGCAAATTAAACAGCAAAGAGCACATAGAAAAGAAATTTGAAAAACGGAAAGCGAGGCAGGAGTGAAGAGGTTAAAATATTTCTCCTTGGTCCTGCTATACTTAACCTAACTTATTGGTACACAGTTACTGGGCTTTTGATATCATTGACCCTTTTTTATTCTCCTTCAGCTTCATTGCACAGTGCTTCCAAAAAGGACACTCCATTTACCTGGAATAAAACCCCAGTCTTCGGAACTCTTATAGCTCCTCAGCATAAACAGGAGCAGCTGCTAATTTTTATGAGTCAGATTGAATTCCAGAAAAGCAAAAGATAAAATGACTATCCACTTAGAAACTAACTTTTCTTTGTGTCCAACTTTTCATCAGTACACTATTATTATCCTGATAGTAGAGCCAAAGCAAGCTCTATCACATTAAATATGTATGATATGTCCCATTCACTAGAGAGGTTCCCCCTAATGACACCGATGACATACCAGAGATGCAAAGATGTGTGTGGCAGTCAGGGCAAGGATTGCTTTGATTTGGAAAGTGCAGCTGAGAAGTCTGGAAGGGTGAATATTAAACACAGAAGCTAGATATTCCGTAGTTGTCCTCAGTGATTTGTTTTGTAATCTAAAACAGAAGTAGACTTCTCCTGTGAACCTTTTTTTCTTGACCTGCTCTTGAGATGGCCAAACTCTAACCAGGCCTATAACAATTCTAGCTAACACTAACTGGGCTCACAAAGTGCTGGGGCCATGTTTTACACAATGGTAGGCAAAGAAGGGGAAGAATGCTTCCCTCTCCCAAGCTTGGTTTTTCCTCTTAGAGCTAGCTGGATTGAAAATGTTTCCATTCATATCAAAGTCTCAAACAGAAATAGAATGGGGTAGGAAGTAAATGCTCCTTTATTTTCGTTTTGCCTTCTAATTGAGCCAACAAAGCAGAATGTTGGGAAAAGAGACCAGAATCTTGAAATAACAGAGTTACACTAAGAACCCTGATTTGACCATTCTACAATGTACATGTGCATCAAACTATCATATTGTACCCCATTATTTGTCAATTAAAAATAAAATTTAAATCTGAAAAAATTTAAAGAATAATGGTAGCAAACTGTGGGTACATAAAAAGCTATTGGCTACATACATGGAGGTTAAGAAACATTCTAGCTGACATCTTCAACTATCATTTATCAAGTACTTAGCCATGTGTTAGGCACAGTGCTGAGAACTGTATGTGCATTTACATTACCTCATTTAATCCTCACAACAGCTTTATTAGGAAGTCCTATTTTTATTCTCATTTTACAGGGGAGAAAACTAAGGTTCAGAGAACACATAGCTTACAAGTAGCCTAACAAAGACTAAAACTCTCATCTGCCTAAGGCTGAAGCCCACATCCTCCACCTTACCCCCTTGCCTCTAAGTAACGCAAGTGTCAGAGCCTTCAAACTCCTAGGTCAGCCGTTATCTCATCCCCACCATATGGCAGTGGAGAAAACTTCAGACACTCAAGTTTGATGACTTTAGTCCCTTGCTTAAAACCTCTCAGGGTTCCCTATTTTCCTCCAGGACAAAGTCCAAATTTCCCAATATGGCTTAATAAAAGCCTTCCTGATTTGACTCCTGCTCACATATCAGATTCAGTTGTCACAAATTCCTCACCCCTCTGCTCTACCCATGATGACTCTGCTACAATTACTAAAAAAAATGCCAAGATCTTGCTTACTTGCAGGTTTGCTTACCCAAAATAGTCTCCTCGCTCTCTTCTCTGCCCTGATGACATGTTTCATTCTGAATCAAACGCAGGATTAGGATTCCCCATAGAGCCACCTCCTCTCAGAAAGCTTCAAGTCCCCACAAGGCCCTTTTGCTGGGTTTCAATAACCCACCCTTCACTTATGTCATGCACATATCACACCAAATTGCAGTATTCCCTCTTGCCCCTAGATTGAGGTCCTTGACAGTAACATTTATATCATATTCATCATTTTAGCTCCAGCACTTTGCACTATAACTGGACCTTCATCAGTCAGCAAAATGAATGAAGACACCTTGGCACTACAGCTGATTCTTACTAATGATGCAACAGAGCCAGTAGATCATGACAGCATGATTTCTTTACCCTTGTCATGATACAATAGAGCATGATTTAAGAAGACTGTCTCTAGCAGCATGTGGCACCTAGGTTCAAATCCCAGCTCCATCACTAAAAAAATTACCTAAAATAAGCCACATCCAAGAGAAACTTTTCCTTACAGTTTCCTCCTCTTCTCACAAACAGCTCCATATTTGTTTTTACCCTAGCACTTATTCCGAATTAACAACTATTGGTTTACGAGATTACACAGTCTATAAAAATCATGACCACACTGGCCGTTTTTCCATCTTTCCACAAAGCTAGAATAGTGTCTGCTCCATAGAAGGTGTTCAATAAACATGTGTTGAATGACCTTGACCTTGGTGTGAGATAATAGTAAGCATCACAAGGACATGTTTCACATCTAAAAAATGCTGTGTTCGGAGTTTGTGTTCCAAACATTTCCAGAGGTATTAAGGTAGTGTGTCCAAATGCGACAATCTCTCTCTGCTCCGGTGCCTCCAGGTGGCCTGGTTGGATCCTGTAAAGGGTCATACAGTGGCCAAGTCCTTCTTTCTCCCCTTCATCTTGTATGCCAGGTTTTCTCCACATACCACTCTAAGGTTTAAGTGAGCCAGCTCCTTTCCATGCACATCTTGTCCACCACAACTGGGCTTTCATTGGATCATGTTCTAAGGGCAGGAATGGGGCCAAACAAACTTTTCAACCAAATGGTTTAAACCAAATTCTAGCATTTTGGTTTTAGCACTGGGCAATGATTGCTTTTTCTGTATATCTTCTTACCTTTCAAAGGATCCTCATTTCCTCATACCACATTGATTCTACCACAAAGGTTGTATGATCATTGTAACAATATTCATCTCTGAGCCCAGTAAGCTTTTATTGTCCCCTCCCCCAACAATTTCTGCTTTATTTGAATTCTGGGTGCCTCAGTTTCCCTAAGGCAGAGTGAGAGAGAAACCATCCCAACTTCTGGCATCTTCAATAGTATAAAAGTACTGTGATTGTTGCTATTGTCTTTACTACACTCTCCAAGGTATTTTCACACATATTGTCCCTTTTGAGTACCACAGTAATGCTACGAGGGTTCTTACTCTTTTTATTTTTCATAGTTGAGGCAACTAAGATTCAGAAACAGTAGTTCACTTACTCAAGGTTATATGGCTGTTTAGTATTACAGCCAGTCTGAAGATGGAACTTCCAGTTAATGTGAAAACCTTCTCATTCATTCTTTTTTTCTCTGAAGCACTTCCACAATGGCCAAGACTGTGGTTTATAAACAAAGGAAATCATGGCAAGCTGGTTCTGACATGTTATGTAAAAGCAATGCATTGGGAGAGTATTGCTTTGGTCTAGAATGAATGTGTGCATCCACAGAAGCTCCCCAGGATGTAGAGGTGATCAGCCCCCAGTCACCATGTTCAGCATTTGGATAATGCTCAGCCCTGTGGTGTGAAAGCCAGCAAAGGCTCCCTAAGTGCAGGTGATTGTACTGGCGATGTGGTGATGCTGGGGTGCCAAAGTTATTTGTTTGCACAGTGGTCTCTGTGTCATCCTGTGGTAACGAAGGAGGGGAGTAAGATGATGGATTTTCTGGGAAGCAAGTCTTCAGTGAGAGAGGCTGGGAGTATAACCATCCTGCCAGGTGGAGAAGGAGCATGCTTTGCTGGTGTGACCTGGAAGCTGGAAAAATGAGCTCTTGATAAACTGCCACTTCTCTAAGCCTTGATTATTCCATGTTCTTAATGGGGGTGACAAGGCTCACTTGAGACAACTCTGAAGTCTCTTGAGGATGACAGGAGGCAATGGGCATGAAAACATTTAAGGAGCTTTTCTTATAATCAATAGAGGGGGAGAGTTTACTGCCAACATATCTGGCATCTGTGGGGATCTATGTACCTGGGTGCCAAGACCTCCCCACAAGTGTCCTTTTTGGCACAGTTTAAATTCAGAAACCACTGTCTACAAAAGTCACTGTCAAAATAGAAAACCAGATGCTACGTCTCTAATAGGATTATTCAATTCAATTAAAACTAATTGTTTAGGGGGAAAATAAAAAATGAAGAAAATGTTGTTCTCACGGGTTAAAGTAAAAGAGAAAAATGCATTTGGGCAAAAGAAAAAACAAAAACAAAAAAGATTTGAATGGTTTTTTATTTAAATCTTGTTTCCTAACCTGCTGAGCTAACCTTAGCTCTCTTCTTGACTGTGCAAATGCACAGCTTCCTAGAACATAAGGTGAGTATGTGGCTGGATTAACAATTTTCATAAATAATCATCCTTTTAAATTCCTGCACCAAGGATCTAAGAACTCATAGGAGCTTAGAATTTAGCTTTTTTAGGGCTCAGCCTCTCACCCCTGGTGCCTACCACACTTGCACAGAGCTGCATACAGCCATCTGCCAGAGATTTCCAATCCCTGTTTTGGCGATGAGATAAGCAATGTGTTAAAATGGTTCAGCCCTGTCTGGCAGAACTAGCTCTGGGGACTTGGAGCCCCACATGTCTGGAGGTGCTGTGCCATCTGCTCAAGGTCACTGGTAGTCAAGGCTGGTAGTGAAGAGTACCCTTACCACATTGTCTCCATCTTCACCTCTTTAGTCATAACCTCTAGAGCGCTGCCCTGGCTCCCATCCTGCCTGTTCCTCATACATGGTCTATTAAGTGGCCCGTTTTCTTTCCCTTCCACACTCATGGAGGCTTTTCTTTTCCCTTCCACATTCATGGAGGCTTTTCTTTTCCCTCCAGTTGCTTCCTCCCACCTGGGCATTTGGGACTTGTGTCAGGAATAAAAGTTCTCAGGACTGGATCTCTAATGGCCCATTTTGCACTAATGTAACTTTCAAATACGCAGCATGGCCAGCTCATAAAAATATCTTGGTGCAACTTAAAAACTTAATAAAGCATTGTTCACAAAAGTTTATAGGGGCAAGATGGTCTTACTGTCTTTGTTACTTAGTTAACTATTAGGAAATTTTTCTCTCCAAAATAAAAATTAAATAGCAGTCAGCAATGGTTCAAGTGGTTGCAGGGATCTTCACATCTAACACTCTCTTTAATATACTCACAAAGTGATCTGCTACTTCTGCTTAAAGACTTCAAAGACATGGGTTTCTCTACCTATCAATGCATCTTTATAGGTTTAGCATTTTGTTTTGAAATTTTTAACATATTAAAAAATGTACAGCAAATAACATAATAACCCCAATGTACCTAAGACCCAGCTTCAATAATTATCAGTAAATGGTTAAACTTGTTTCATCTAGGTTTACCAACTTTCCCCAAATCCTCCTCTACTGCATTATTTTAAAACAAGTCCTAGACATTATTGTTTCATCATAAATATTTCCGTGTTCTATTGTGTGTGTATTCTATTGTGTGTGTTATATTTGTGTATTCTACTAGGGAAAAAAATGGCATTTCCCTTACACAACTTCACTGTCTTATAATAATGCATATACATTACCCTGAAGCACTTTGGTCACACCTAGTTGCAGTTTTGTGAATGGAAATGTAATAGTTAGGCTGGGATTTTTCTCTTTGCTGAGTTTTAGGACTCCAATTAAAGGAAGTTCACATACATAACCGAAGCATTAATTTCGTATTCCATAAGAAGTGACACCATGAGGTGAAAAAAAATGTGTAAGAGATCCTAGTTGCTACTCTGCAGCTTGGAAGCTGTGTTACCTTGAGTAAATTATTTTATTTTTCCTCAGTTCCCTCTTCTATAAATTACGGGCAATATTGTCAGCCCTACTTCCTTCACCAAGATTTTGTGAGAATCCCATGGGATGATCCACATGGAATCACTTTGTAAAGACAATGTACTGTTTGAGAGTAAGAAATAATTACTGAGGGGTGATAAAGATACATTGCAGAAGCAGAGCTCAGTAGGAAAGTATAAAGAATATGGAGATTTTCCCTGCCAACTAAGCCATTATGGTTCCCAGAGCCTTCTGTGAAAACTCATAATAGACACTTGCTGAGGAGCCGTGGGGAGCACCAGCTGCAGAGCTATGTCAAGAGAGGCCCCGTCATATATGATCTCAATCAATAAACCCGCCGTCCAGGCAACAACGGCTCCTTCCAGCACTGTGCAGACTGTTCAGACAAAAGCCACCAGGAAAAGTATATTTTTCACCTTCTTTTGAGACCTGAACAGAGGAACAAATCACTGCTCTTTCCCCTTAGAGAGAAGAAAAATTGTCTAATAATAATACTTTCCTCGGCCCGCTGGAGAAATGAAGTGACCAGCTGAGCTGCAAGTAGATGATTATTCTTTTGGCAAAAACTATAATCGGTCTGAATTCAAAGACCAAAAGCATTTTAAAGGCGAAAACACCTGGGGAGAAGAATGGACAGTGGATTAAAACAAAAATTTCCCTCACCTGTTTCCCTCACAGGGCAGGCCAAAAAAGAGCTCAGGAGGCAGAACAGTTACTGGGAAGGAATAAAGTAATGCCTGGTTATACAATGGCCCTTTGTCTGTCAAAGAAGGGGTCTGGGGCTGCCATTCTCTCCAACATATAGAACATGGCTCTCATATGTCCTAATGGCTTAATAAGGACAAGATAGTGACAACTGAACTAATCCAGACAAAGACAAGTCCCCAGAGGGGTTTCTGCCTCCAGTCAAGCCACATGGCCACAGGCCATACATAAAGCAGGACTCCAGTTTTCCATTTAAAGAACTGATTCCATTAATAAGGTTCCATTTGAAGAACCTTATTAACCACTGTGTGTTAATAAGGGTAGGCTAGCTGCTGTAAGAATCAGTCCCCTTAAATTACAGTAGCATCATGTAACAAAAATTAATTTTCCTTCCAAAAAAATCTCTATTTGTCTGGGTGACTCTTCGACCCAATTCCATTGCCAGAGTTCTGAACAGCCCCAGCAGGAACAAGGGGGCTGGAAATGTTGTCCTTGGCTGGGCAGCTATTCCCCAGCAGCAACTCCACACCATGGGAGGAATTGCAGCTTGCTGAGTCTGACAAGAGTGGGAAATTGTGAAAAATTGACTAACAGGCATTTATAAGGCACCTACTTTTTGCAAAATCCTTTACCAGCTGTCACAGGGAAACAGAAGAAATAGGATCCTTGATCCTCAAGAGGCTGAAAACATGATGAGGGTGACAAATATGTAGTCAACTAACAACTAGATGTTGAAACTCCATCCCTTCCTTTTCCCTGAACTGTGCCAGTTGATTTACTTTTATGGAATATCGGTGGATGTAGTATCCCCACCTAGAAATAAATGATTTACAATTCAAGTGTTCTTCACATAAAGTCTTACTGAACTTTAGTATGCAGAGACAGTATATTAAGTAGTTAAAAGAGTCAGCATTAGGGCCAGACAGCCCATGTTTAAATCTTGAGACCACCACTTCCCAGGATTTATCTGCTATGGGCCTCAGTTTTTGTACTTATAAAATGTGGATGGAGATTGTTCCTACTTCATGGAATACTGAGAGGATTAAATAAGCTAATAAAGGTAAAAACACTTAGTACCATGCTTGGCATATAGGAAGCACCATGTTAATGTTGGCTGTTGTCACTGGGTAATGACATATTAAATATGAAGGGCATAAGCAACATAAAAACATGAGAATTCCTGCATGACTCAGTTTACAAAATATCAACATGCAAACCCTGCTCCCAAATGCACTCTTCTTGGCCTCCTCATGCAACTGTTCTGACCCTGCCTCTCAGGTGCTCTCACATTATCTGACACCTGCATAGCCCCAACTCTCATTCTGGATGGCATTTTTCTTACTCTTTATCTCTAGTCCCATCAAAACAGATTTGTCTTGATTTCTTAGAAGTGGAAAGAATTTACCCTTTTTTACAGAAGGATATCTTATCCTTTTCCTAATTTAAAATTTTATTTTCACGTTCCTAATTTAGCAGAGTTGCTTCCCATCTCCCCATCATAATGGCATAAAGGAAAAAGCAATTTCTGAGATACTGGAGAAGATTTTTAGAAGATGTGATGTTGAACTATGCAGGCTTGTGGTAGATGCAGGAAAAGTTCCATGGCAGGTGGCTGCCTCTTTATTTGACCAGCTCTCAGTATGTCTGGTCCACATAGCTAAAACAGGAGATGCCCTGTTTCACCACACTGTCCCCCCAGTCCACTCCCCTTTCTATGAACAGAACAACCACTATGTCCTCCATGCGCTTGACCTCAGGGGAGGCTCTCTCACCATTCAACTTTGCCCACTACAGTCTATCTCTACATTGTAGTCAGAATTATCTGTATGAAAGAGCATAAATCTGGCCATGGCACCTCCTCTCTCCCCAACCCAGATAAAACACTTAAATGAGACTTCATCTCTCATGGCATTTCTCCACATTTTTCGATGGGCATAAAAGGCAGCTCTTCACACCAACTCCCCTCTCAAGTGTCTCTTTCCTCTGTCCCCCACCCACTCTGCTCCTGCAACACCAAGCCGCTCACTCTTCCCAGTCTCATCAAAGTTCTTAACTTTGCCCTTGGCCTAGAACACACTGCTCATCTTTCTGGATAGGGAATTTCTGCTCATCCTTTTATGCACAGCCAAATATACTCAAATTTATCTGTGGAGATCTCCAAGATATTCCCTGCATACCTTTTCCTGTCTCATTCCCAGAATCCCAGGCAGATTTGCTTCCTCTGCTCTCCCCGGTGAAGACATCTCCTCTGACATTTTAAGCCCAGCAGGCGTGCTTAATGCCATCTGCTTTTCTGAACTATGAGCACCAAAAAGGCAGGATTTTGGTCCTAACTGTCCCTTTGTTCCCTTCATGACACATATTAGGTTATATATTTTAGAGAATGAATATATAAAGGATTCTTTAAAGCCTCGTACCTAATTAGATATCTAAAACTTTTGACTCATTTTTAACTATCCCTCAAACATATCCTCTCATCCCCATTCATTTTCGTTGCCTCCAGGCCACAATTCACCCCTCCTCTCCTGCTCAGTCTAAATGTTCTCAAAAGCCACCCTGCACTAATGCAAGTCTCTTTATTCTCCCTTTACAAACATGCCTTGTTCTGCTTTGCTTCCATTTTTGAAAACTCCCATGCTCAGTTTTTCCATGAGAGGCTCTTGGCAGGAGAATTATAGGTGAAACAATCGAGAACTCAGTGGGCCCTCAGCCTTCTGCCTAGTTTGCAGCCAGATCCAAAGGTAGCAGAACTCTAAGCTGAGCTTGGTTGGCCAGAGTAGGGAAAAATAAGGAGTGAGAGGGGCAAAAGACACGCTAGAGACAGAGGGCAAATAAACCCAGGTATGGATATGTATCTGTATTAGGTCAGGGTTCTCCAGAGAAACCAAAGCAATAGAATATACATATAGGAAGAGATGTATTGTAAGAAATTAGCTCACATGATCATGGAGGCTGAGAAGTCTCACAATCTACAATCTGCCAGCTGGAGACCCAGGAAAGCCAGTAGTGCAGTTCCAGTTTGAATCTGAAGACCTGAGAAGCAGGGGATTCGATGGTGTAAATCTCAGTTAAAAGTTAAGAGAAGACCAGTGTCTCAGCTTAAGCAGGCAGGCAGGAAGCAAAAGGGATGAATTTATCCTCCTCAACATTTTTGTTCTATTCAGGACCTCGACAGATTAGATGATGCCCATTCACGTTAGAGAAGGCAATCTACTGAACCCACTGAGTCCAATGTTAGTCTTATCCAGAAACATCCTCACAGAAACACCCAGAAACAATGTTTGCACTGGGCATCTCTTGGTTGACAGAAAACCTTCATGATCATACTATTGATGTGTCCAGGTAAGGAATGTGTACTCAAAATATATTTCAATATTCATTTGAAAGCCATGGGTTGGGAGGAGAAAGAGATCTAGCATTAGAGTCAGGAATACTTTGTCCAAACTTCATCTCTGCTGTTAAGAAATTGTGTGAATTTGTGAAAGTCACCAGGTCTCTTTCAACCTCATTTTCCTCACCTATAAAATTGGGAATAGTAGTTCTTACTTTGTAGTGTTATCAAAAGGACTACAACATAAGAATATAAAGCCTACCAATAGTTTTTGCCAAGGGGTAGATTACCAATAAAAGGTAATGGCTATTAATATTAATTTTGTGATTAACCATTGTTAATCAGTTTTCATTCTATAACCAAATTGTTTCTCTTTACCATCATAGATGGATTAATTATTTTCCAGTAAGTACTCATTAAACACCTGTAATTTTTAAGACACAAGATGAGTGAAATATAGAGCCTGCTTTCCTGGGGCTAATTATAACAGAGTGAAACAGCCAGGTCAGCCTAGAGTCACAGTAGTAAGATAAGTGCTATAAGATAGGTGTGTGCAAGACAGCATGGTGATCTTAGCAGAGCCTAAGCAGGTCTGAGGCACTTGCCCAGAGGAGATCATATGGAAGACAAATTTCAAAAGAAGAGAGGAAATCCCCATGAGAACTAGGAAAAAAAGGCCATTTCAAGGAGAGGGAACAGCATGTAAAAAAAAAGTGGAACTAAGAATAAAATAGTGCAATCAAGAAACAGCAAGTAGCTTAAGGTGATCAGAAGACAGGACTAGGGGCTAAAGCAGGAGCCAGATCATACAGGAATTGTTCATAAATGGCGAGGAGTTTGAATTTTATTCTACAGGTGATAAGGAGTCATTGAAAGGTAATGATGAAATGTGATTTTCATTTAGAAAGTTGTCTTTAGATATTGTAGAAAACAAATTACAATAATGCTTTCCAACTTATTTTTTCACACAATGGCACAAGTAAATTAGTATAATAAAGGTATGGCTCATTATGGTCAGTAATAGGATGCTTAAGGCGAGAGGCTGCTCCAGACCCCACAGAGCTGCAGAGAGCTGAGGGACTTGCCATCTTGCACATATGTAGCCTTCTCGCAGACCACCATTGTGAAGCGGTACAGGGGTTAGGAAGCTCTGGATTAGAGGGAACCACAACCATCAGGCAAGCAATGCTTTGAAGACTTAACCACACTGAATTTATTTGTCTGGATGAGTCCTAAAGAGCAAAATGTAGGTAACAGCCAGTGACACAGATTCGGTGTCAAGAACATTGCTCCATGCTCATGAGCCTGCAGTTTGGTTGAATTTAATAAGCTGTCTCTTTACATGGTATAAAAGTAAAGAACAGAATAGGGTAAAATATGTCTTTCTTCTCGCTTAATTGATTTCAATCTGTACCTCTGAAGAAAATCCCTGAATGGCAGGAACCATCTCCAGCCAAACTGTAAAATTATTGAAGGTTATTCTGGAATTTAAGCTTTTCCCTATCATTGCCTTCCCCCATGCACTCATATCCTCTATCTGTTGGCCAACTGCAGGAGCTCTCTTTCTCTCTCTCTCTTTTTCTTTCTTTCTATCTCTCTCTCTCCTTCCTCCATCAAACTTGGCTACCAGAGACATCGCTGATATAGTCACTCACTCCTAGGTATAAGTGTGCCCTTGCATATCTTCTCCCTGCAGTGTTTGCACTTCAAATGTCATCTTGTTGTTAAGCATTAAGGCTTGCCTCCTTTTAAAGGTATTTCAGGCCTGAGGTCTCAGGAAGGAGAGATAGGCAGGTAGAGAGTCTTCTCTTCATACTCCTGACATTGCACTTGAAAGTTGTCCCTAATACCTCTTAAATATTCCCTCCTTTGGCCTTCCTAATAAGCTGCTCAGAAGGCAGAGCAGATAGTCATATGCCCATTTTACAGAGGAGAAAACTGAGATCCAGAGGGATTGAGTGATTTTCTTATGACTGCCCAGTTTGCTTTTGGGAGTAAGGTCTAGCTTGCTGATTGGGAGGGATGAGGAGAACCCTCACCTTGCCATGAAACTCTTGTCTGAGTCAGTGTTCTTCAACTTCCATCAACTTGGAACATACAGCCAGCCTCACATGGTGGAGAGAGGTCAAAACATCCAGATGCACCTCTTCCTAAAGCTTTGTTTGTCTGCTCAGTGGCCTTGAGTGGGGCAGCTTGCAGGCAGCTGGCAGTAGAGCACGGCTCACAAAGACAGCACTGCTTTGTCCTGAAAGACTGAATGTATCAATGTGGAGACTGGGATGGGCCTTTGGGAAATGAGAGCCAACAGGGCACATTGATGAGAATCAGCTTGCAGAGCCTGATCTTTCTGAGAAAGCAGAAACTTAGTTGTTTTTCTCATTTAAATCTTTTCCATTTATTTTTGCCCAGCCTCACGACTCTTGAAGTTTAATTGCCAACCTTTGTTTTTTAAGCACAAAAGGGGAGGGGCCTGACTTTCTAAGGCATTAAGAAACTTAAAGTAAGCTTCCTTGGAACCCTCACCTTGCCCTTGAACTGAAGAAACAGGTATCCAGGCTCAGGAGAAACTGGTGAGGCAGCAGGTGGTGGAGAAAACTAAGGAGGGGAGTTTATCAGTGCAACATGATTGAGATATACCAATGCAAGCAGCACTCCCCAAGCACACCAAGGCAAAGGGGAGAAAACTGCCCCTTGTTTTCAACATAGGCTCCCTTTCTCACTTTTCAAGGCTGTTCCTAATATTCAGATAACCTAGATTACACTGGTGAAAACACACTTAAACTTTGTGATTTGTGTTTGTGTTTGTTTGAAAAGTACAAAGTGTGATTGGTCTCAGTACCCACTCCCTGCCCTCACCCTGTCCAGAATTGATGGTATGAGCCCCTTCCCCCAAAGTTTTGATATCTACGGATTTCTCAACTCAAAAGAGTTATTTTCGTTGCCTGGATATTCTTACCTTTAATTCACAAGTCTCCATTGCCAAGCCCTTCTCATTCTCTACATGCCCTCAAAAGTTTTTAGAAGGGTGGTCTCCTCTCTGTCACAGGTGAGTTCTGTGCCCGCCCCCCCTCCCCCCATCTCTTTCCCACCCCATACCAAGAGGGGGCACTGGGGCTAAGCAGAACTGGTGGAAATACTGGGCTGGGATGGGGCTGACTACTCCCTTCTCTCTCTACCCTGCTGTATTGAGGATGGCAATCAGAGATAGAGAAGAACCAAAAAACAACACCCAGCTGAAGCAACTTCGGTCCTCTTTACATTCTTGTCATCTTCCAATCTCTTTCTCATGCCACTCTACATGCCCTTTGGAACACGATATCTTTCTGCAAACCATTTTTCACTTAATTTCGCAAGTCAACCTGATTCTGTCAAGAATACAGCTTGACTAGAATGCAAAGAAAAGACTGAACAAGAACATTTTCTTAAGCTTTTCTTTCTATCTAAAAGAAAAGCCTTGATGGACATAAAACAGAAAGGAAACAGAATGGCTCTCCGAACAACTTTCCATGGTGAATTGTTTTGAACTCTGACCGAACAAAGGAAACTCTTCCCCCTTCACAAAGAGTTCGGGTTCAGGGGGCCTCTCTGTGGCATCACCTATTTCCACCCAACACATAGCAATCCTCCACCTGTGCTGAGGAAGTGGCAATGGCTGACCAGAAAGTCAAGGTGTGCCTTTTAATCTAATCAGACTGCTGAGAGGCTGAAGAAAAGCAACTTGCCAGCTTCAAGGATTACCCGTTTTCTTCCCAAGGCCATTGGGCCTGGGGTCAGCATTTCGCAAAGATTAAATCTACTCTAATCTTCCTCCAGGTAAGAGTTTGCTAGATAATGACCTTTCCTATACTCTTACTGGCATGATTACTGATACTATCATCTCCCCCAAGCCTTTACAAACTGAAATTGCAGTGATAATAGTGAATTCTTTCAATGTCTTTTTAGAGGATAAAAAAAAAAAACATAGCCCACCTAGTCACAATAATCCATGACATTTGAGCTTTGGGGAAAACCAATGGGGCAGCAAGGCACACTAAAAGAAAACCAAACAAAGCACCTGTTGTCCTCTATTCACAATGCAATAAAATGATCTGTCTTTATCCCAAATTTCATCCAGGGCATAGATAGAGTCATGACTGTAGTCTTTCTTATCCCTGAACATCATGAGAGGAAAACCCTGACCCTTATGTAGGTTATTCCAGTAAGGCCAAGAGAATCAGATACACTCTTTAGAGACTTTTCCCCTCTCTTTCCTGCCATTTTTGCCCTCAATTTAAAAGATAGGGATAGGTCCTCACTGTACCAATGAGCCAGCCGTTAGAGGCAGGCCATCGGTTCTGTAGGGATGCCATCTCAGAATGTGCCCTTTGACATCCTTGGATGTCAGTTATTGGCTGCCCCCTGCCCCTAGATCTGTGCTGAGGATCACAACTATGCACAAGGGGTTCTGCAAGGCAAATTCTGAGTTCTTGGCTTGGAAGAAGACAAGCAGAGGAGGCCTCTGTAGTTCTACCTGAAATAGGCCTTACGTTTGTTTCTAAATCTTGTCTTATGACTGACTGTGTTGTGAGAGATTTGCCAGTGCCACTTTTTGATGTGAGCCTGAGTTTATTTACAATCCTTTAATTTCTACAGAAGAGAGGATCTTTCAAATTATAAGAGGAGCCACACCAGCATTTCTGTATCAGTCCCTTCCTAGATATCCTCAGGGGCTCCTATTTCCTTCCAAGTAATGTCCAAACCTAGGACGTTTCTTCTCAATAGAGCAATACTGCTCCCAAGGAGGCAAAAATTGTTTTGGGGAGGGGAGGAGAGATAAGACAGTTCTTACTCCTTTTATTATAAAGAACAGATATACATACAATACATAAACAGATATACAATATAACTGTGGTATTAAATTTTCATGGGGGAAGGCGGGGAAGATTAGAGAAAAAATGTCTATCTAAAAAGTGCCTTAGGGAAGCAATAATGGGAGAAAAAAATCGAGAAACACTGAGATAGAATAAAAGCTTTTACAATCCGATTTCAAGGATGCCTTTCCATCCTTGATCTCACTCTACCTTTATGCCAAAGAATAACAAACCGTGGCAGAAATCCTGAAAATCATGGAGATTTTGGTAGAAATATTTACATGTTGGAATTAAAGAAACAAATCTATAATATTTTATTATTTCGGATACAACTCAATAATAGATTATGTACTATCCCAGATTATACATCATCCTAGATTTCAATGTCCATGAAGCTAATCCATTCAAAAATTGACTTTCTATTTACTGGACTATGTTAACTCTATTAAAGACTATCACTTTACTGAACTTCAGCACTCACTTTCAGAGCACATCATTCTATTTATTGCCCAGTACTGGTCCACCCTAGTGAGCATTTGACTGCACTTGTCTGTTCTATGATCTGCACCTCCTAACTTACCAAGTCTCACATTTTTGTAAACACCATACGTCTTGATTTTGACCTCCTGGCTGAACTCCAACCCCATAGTGTCTTAGTTGTCTTCCAGGCTGTCACATGCCTCTTGGCCTTCCTCCCTTTTATAGATTTAGACTCCCTTGATGAACTTCTGCTTTATTGTCTCATCAGCATTATCAAATTTTTTGTATTTCTGTGCTGCCCCCACACCTTCCCAGCAAAGTCCCAAAGGAGGATGACTATAGATCATTGCCACAGCTCAACTTCTTCTCCTCATGCCCAGGTCACTATTCACTGCTGGTAGAAATGCACACATCTGGGCAAATAGCCAGAAATATAAAAAGGTATGTATAATCCTGGACTATATGTGGCCCTCTGCACTGCCCATCATGCTTAGCTTCCCTTGATTAGCTTCTTTGTTGATTCCCTTTGCTATTTTGAATATCTGTCCCCTCCAAAACTCATGCTGAAATTTAATCCCCAATGTGGTAGTATTGAGAAGTAGGGCCTTTAAAAGGTGACTAGGTCATGAGGGCTCTGATGGGAGCTTCAATGGGACTGATGACTTTAGAAGAAGAGGAAGAGACACCTGAGCTAGCACACTCAGTCCTATTGCCATATAATACCCTGTGCCACCTTCGGACTCTACAGAGTCCCCACCAGCAAGAAGGCCCTCATCAGATGTGGCCCCTTGACCTTGGACTTCTCAGACCCCATAAATGTAAGAAGTAAATTTCTTTTCTTTATAGATTTCTGATTCCTTCAGATTGTTTATGGATTTTTCAGATTCCTGAAACCTATAAAGAAAAGTTTCAGATATTTGGTTCAGATATTCTGTTATAAGCAACAGACAATGGACAAAGACCCCCTTCAACTAGGAGCTAAATCCCTACTACTCTCCTCATATGTTATTCTGAACCATACCCCCACACTTGGAGTAAATGTTCTTGCCTTCTTTGTAATTTAGAAAATTGTGCCCTTTGACATAATCTTTCTCTCTTCATTTTCTGCTTTCTTATCATTAGAATTAGCTATAATCGTACCCTTGTCTATTTAATTTTCTCTAGTCTCAGTGGACAAGAGTCTTTCAGTCCTGTTCAAGATTAGTGTCTCTTCTAATCTCCTTAACCCCATCTACTCCCAGTTCTGGAGGGACTCCACCCTATTATACTTCCCTACTCTCCTAACTTGCTCTTTCTTTCCCAGCCTATAAACATGTTTGAGTCTCTCACAACTGGGCAGGAAATAAAGTTTTTCTTTGACTTTCTCTCCCTCTAGCTACCCTCCAACATCTCTTCCCTGGTTCATCCAAAATTTTTGGAAGGTTATTTTACATTTGCTGTTTTTATTTCCTTAACTTTTCCACATCTTTCCTCAATACAGTGCAATCAAATGTCTTCCCCAACAATGCACAGAAATTTTTTCTAATAAAGTCACCAATGACCTCTCAATGATTACACCATTGCATATGTTTCAGTTTTTATCTTATTACATCTCTTTGATGCACTTGCCATTTTTATCACTAGGCTTTTAAAAATTCTCTACTTCCTTTGATTTCTTAACACAACACTTTCCAGTTCTCCTTGAAGCTCCCTGATCATTCTTTCTCAATCTCCTTCCCTGGTTTTCTTCCCTGGTCCCTTCCTTTGGGTCAGCTTTCCTCAGTGCTTCTTTCACTATAAATACTCTCTCAATGTATCAGTTGGAATTGCCTTCAGGTACAAGTGATAGAAACCTAGAATAATAATGATTTAGATTGATAGTGCTACATTCTTCTTACATAACAAAAGGCCCGGCTGTAGACAGCCAGAGCTAACTATTTAAGGATCTGATCAGGGATCTGGGATCTATCCCTCTCTCTGCTCCACTTTTACTTAGTATTTGTCTTCCATCTTCACGACCACAGGATGGGTGCTGCATGCATGCATCTCATCCAGGTAGGAAGATTGGGTAAGGGTTTTGGGAGAAACACAAAGACTTTCTAGTCTTGAGACTTTCCTTTTTTCCAGAATGAAAATTCTTTTCCAAGGCTTTCCATAAGAAATGTCTCACATGGCCATCTGAGCTGCAAGGATGACTGAACAGTTGAGTATTTTATTTTATTTAAATTGAAGAAATCAAAGGAGAAAGTACTGTGAATTTCTGGAGTTTGACTAGCTAATACTCATTATCTACCTCTGGGTATAATCCCACCTTCTTTTTGGTACCAGTTCACACTTACAAGCAGGAAAGCAAAATGCCAAGAGCATGGATGCTAGAGCAAGCATGTTCCTAGAACTGAATTATGGCACTACCACCTTCTATATAGCTATGCAACTTTACACAAGTCATTTCAGTGCTCTGTGCTTAGGCCTCCTCATCTAGAAACTTGGAATGATTATAGTACCTATGTAATAGGTTTGTTGTGAAGATTACATGAGTTAATACGTGTAAAAGAGCCTGCAATGGAGTAAGCTCTACGAAAGTGAGCTATTACCATTATTATTATTAGTGCTCACAAATATGCATTTATAGCTCATTTCCCTTCCTTAGCTTTGGATTTATACAGCCAACTGCTCATTATACATTATATTAATAGCCTAGAGATGCCACAATAAAGTACCACAAACTGGGTGGATTAAAACAACAGAAATGTATTCTCTCACAGTTCTGGAGGTTAGAACGCTAAACTTAGGGTTAGCATAGATTCCTCCTGACGGTTCTAAGGGAACAACAGTTCCATGCCTCTTTCTTAGCTTCTGGTGATGGCCAGCAATCTTTGGCATTCCATGTTTTACAGACGCATCACTCCAATCTCTTCCATTTCCATATGGCCGTCTTTCTTTGTGTCTCTGTGTCTTCACATGGCATTCTTTTCCCTGTATGTCTATTTTCTATTTTTATATAGACATCAGTCATATTGGATTAGGGCCCACCCTAATCAAGTATGACATAATCTTAACTTTATAATATTTGCAAACACCCTATTTTCAAATAAGGTCATGTTCACAGGTATGGGAGCTTAGAACTGTATTAATCTGTTCTCACACTGCTAATAAAGACATACCTGAGACTGGGTAATTTATAAAGAAAAAGAGGTTTAATGGACTTACAGTTCCACATGGCTGGGGAGGCCTCACGATCATGGCGGAAGGGAAAAGGCATGTCTTACATGGCAGCAGCAAGAGAGAGAATGAGAGCCAAGCAAAAGAGGAAACCCTTTATAAAACCACCAGATCTCATGAGACCTATTCAATACTGTGAGAACAGTATGGGGAAACCACCCCCATGATTCAATTATCTTCCACTGGGTCTCTCCCACAACATGTGGGAATTGTGGGAGCTGCAATTCAAGATGAGATTTGGGTAGGAACACATTTAAACCATGTCAAAGACTTCAACATATTTTGGGGGAAAAATACAATTCACCCTACCACAGACACCCATCACAGATCTCACAGAGGTACCTTACATATGATACTGGAGATGTGTGATTCTTCTTTCTTCCACACTTACCATATTCAAATGAATCGCCAAGTCCTGCTAGTTCTAATGTGTGTATGTGTGGGATGTGTGTGTGTGTGTGTGTTTGTGTGTTGCAGATATATATGTATACATACATACACTTATATAAGTATAATATATGGATAATATAAGTATATATTATATATAAAGTATATATAATATAATATATAATATATAATAATATATAAGTATACATATTATAAATATATATTATTATAAGTATATAATATAAATACATATTATTATATAATAATATATATAAGTATATATGGGTAATATATGGATAATATATATAGATATATGTACACATACACACACATACACACATTATTCCCTTTTCTTAATATGTTCTTTCTCTGCTACCTCAGGCCTTCCTCTCCATTCAAGTAGCAAGATCAAATCTCTGTAACCTGGCATAGAGATTCTCCAAAATCTGGTACCTATCTTTCACTGAAGACAATATAGTGGCTGCCACCTCCCACAGATAGTTCCCTTAACTTTAAATGTCTTTTTTCATTCCTCCCTTTCACATGGTCAAATTCTATTTACACTTTATGATTTAATCCAAGCATCACTTCTTCTAGGAAACTATCTCTATATCACCCCATTCTATCCTCTAAGATTGAATCAAGTGTCCAGCCTTCAGTTTTTCTATATCTTTACTTATCTCTATCACTAAATTTATCATGTGCCTTTATAATTATTTTTATGCATGTTTACTCCACTAGCCTGTGAATCCATTAAGGACAGAGAATACAGCTTGTTTTTCTTTGTATTTTAGTACTTGCCAGATTTAGCAAATAAAAAAAGTACACCCAATTACAAATTTAAATTTCAAACCAATCAGGAATCATTTTTAATGTAAGTATGCCCCATTAAATATCTGTGCACACTTAAACTAAAATAAATTATTTGGGATAATCTTTATTTTATTTCGTAACCCTACTAGCCATATAGTTGTCAAAACTTGCATTTCTATAAATGTTTATTGGATGAATGAATGATAATATAGATATATAATGGTAGATACCAAATATTTTTAAAACTTAATAAAAATTTGGGCAGAGAGTATAAATTTATAAGATAAAAATCCATGTGTGCAAATAAAAAGACTTCAAATTTTTCTTAAAACTAAATTTCTTCTCTATTATGAATTAAATCTAACAACAAAACACTAACTTAGATCAATCCAGCAGTTTATCAATTAAAATTTAAAATTAAGTTTAAAACTTACTTTTCTAGTTTCCTTCTTTCCTTTCCCCTTCAGGACCGATGTTAAACTTCAGAAACCAGTACCTCTCACAGTGCAGGGGTGATCTGCCTCAGAACTTTTTTCTCTGTCCTAACGTTATTCTATTCCAGCCCTTGCTCAGAGATACATTTTCCAAGTTGGTTCTTCATTCAGGCAATGCACAGCCCTCCCTCAGGGGTTTGAAAATCTTCACTTCATTCCTTCTTAGCTCTCTAGCACAGTAGTTCATCCAAGATAAATTATGTTCTCCTCTCATCCTTGAATGAGATAATTCATTTCTTGTTCTCTGCTGTGGAAACCTTTCATCTTGGCCTTGCACTGAAAAATACAAAAGCCAAAATTGTGAAGTTCCCTAGTGGGCTCAACAGAATAATAAACATGACAGAAAAAAGGTCAGTGAACTTGAAGATGTATCACTAGAAATTCTACAATTCTCATATCTAATGAAAGACATAGACCCACAGATTCACCTACAGCTTAGAAAATCTCAAATGAAAAAAAATTCAAAGAAATCTATGCCCAGTACAACACAATCAAACTGATGGAAACTGAACAGAAAAAAAGAATTTACTGAAAGCAGAAAAGCAGAACATTTTATATAAGAAAACAATAAAGCAAATGACCATGGATTCCTCATCAGAAATCATGTGAATTAGGTCATTCTTGCATTGCTATAAAGCAATAACTGAGACTGGATAATTTATAAAGAAAAGAGATTTAATTGGCTCATAGTTCTGCAGGCTTTACAAGAGGCACAGTGCTGGCTATTGCTTGGCTTCTGGGGCTGGGGAGACCTTGGGAAACTTATAATCATGGCAGAAGGTAAAGTGGGAGTAGGCATATCACATGGCCAGAGCAGGAGCAAGAAAGTGGTGCCACCCACCTTTAGACAGTCAGATCTCATGAGAACTTACTCACTATCACAAGGACAGCACTAAGGGGATGGTGCTAAACCATTCATAAGAAATTCACCAGTGATCCAGGTACCTCCCACCAGGCCCCATCTCCAATACTGGGGATTACAATTCAACATGAGATTTTGGTAAGGAAAAATACATAAACTATATCACCATGGTTGCCAGAAATAAATTGAACATTTTAGTATTAGCAGTAGTTGTAATATTTTACTGGAGATATTCATATACCATAAAATTCACTCTTTTTAAGTGAACAATTAAGTGATTCTTAGTGCATTTGCTAGGTTTTGCAACCATCTCTATTATCTAATCCCAAAATATTTTCATCACCCTGAAAAGAAACCCCATATCGTTGGCAATCAATGCCTATTTCCTTCTCCCCCTAGCCAATGGCAACCAGTAATTTACCTTTTGTTTCTATATATTTGCCCATTCTGGGCATTTCATGTAAAATAATCATATACAATATGTTCTATTACCTCTGTTTTTCACTTAGCATAATGTCTTCAAGTTTCATCTATGTTATATCATTTATCAGGACTTCATTCCTTTTAATGGCCAAGTGGTATTCCATTGTATGACCGTACTACATTATGTTTATTCATTCATTCATTGATGAATATTTGGGTGTTTTCAAATTTTGACTATTGTGAATGATGCTTCTATGAATATCCATTTTTGTATGGATGCATGTTTTTAATACTCTTGAATAAATACATATGAGTAGTATTTCTGGATTATATGGGAACTCAATGTTTAACTTTTTGAGGAACTATCAAAGTGTTTGCTAATGCAGCTACATTAATTTACATTTCTACTACCAATGTGAGAGCATTCCAATTTATCTTCATCCTCATCAACACTTAATATTGTCTGTCTTTTTAATTACAGTCATCCTAGTGAATGTAAAGTGGCATTTCATTGTGATTATTTTATCTGCATTTCCCTAATGACTAATGATATTGAGCATCTTTTCATATGTCTATTGGCTATTTGTATATCTTTACTGGAGAAATATATTTTCAAATCTTCACCCATTTTAAAACTGGGTTGTCCCTTTGTTGTTGGGTTGTACCAGTTCTTCATATATTCTTGATAAAAGACCTTTCTCAGATACATGATTTGCAAATATTTTATTTTGTGGGTTGTCTTTTTGCTTTCTTGGTAGTGTCTTTTGATGCACAAATATTTTTAATTTTGATTAAGTCCAATGTATCTACTTTTTCTTTTGTTTATGCTTTGGGCATCATATTTAAGAAACAATTGACTAATCCAAGGTCACATATATTTACTTTCATATTTTCTTCAAAAAGTTTTATAGTTTTAGCTCTTACAATTTGATCTTTAATCAATTTCGAGTTAATATTTACAAACGATGTGAGGTAGGGATTCAATTTCCTTCTTCTGAATGTGCCTATTTAGTTGTCCCAGCACCATTTATTCAAAAGACTATTCTTTCCCCTATTAAAATGTCATCACCCTTGTCAAAAATCAGTTACCCATAAGTGGATGGGCTTATTTCCGGACTCTCAATTCTATTCCATTGACTTATATGTTTGTCTTTGTGCCACTGCTACCACATCTTATTACTGTAGCTCTGTAGTGAATTTTGAAATCATGAAGTATGAGTCCTCAACTTTGCTCTTTTTCAAAATTATTTTGACCATTATGGGTTTCTTGCATATTTTTGTAAATTTTAGAATCAACTTCTCAATTTCTGCCAAGAAAAATAAAAGCAGCTAGCGTTTTGATAGAAATTGTATTAAATTCTTTCTGGGAATTTGTCCATTTCATCTAGGTTATCTAGTTTGTTGGCATACAATACTACATAGTATTCACATAATCCTTTTTGTTCTATAAGGGATAATATCCCATCTTTTATTCCTGATTTTAGTAATTTGGGTCTTCTCTCTTCATTTCTTAGTCATTCTAGCTAGTTTTATCAAAGTGTCCAATAATAATGATTTTTTAAAGAACCACCTTTTGGTTTTATTGATTTTTTATATTGTTTTTCTATTCTCTATTTTATTTCTCTTCTAATCTTTATTGTTTATTGTTATTTCTTCTGTTTCTCTAATTTCTTAAAGTTTAAGTTACTGACTGGAGATTTTTCTTCTTTTTTAACGTAGGCATTTGTAGCTATACATTTTCCTCAAAGCACTGCTCTCTCTGAATCCCATAAGTCAGGATGTTGTGTTTTTGTTTCCATTCATGGAACAACATTTTAAAGTTCTAAATGAAAAGATATTTTGACTCCAAATTCTATGTCCTGTGAAAATAGACTTCAAAAATAGAGGTAAAATAAGGCTTTCTCAAAATAATGAAAACTAATAATTTGTTAGCTGGGAAATCCTGAAGAAAAATTTTACAAAAAGGAAACAGAACATAAATAATAAAGGAAATGCAACAGAAATGGCAAAATGTCTACAATATCTGCGTAAAGACAGTAAACTATTCTTCTCCCCTCTTAAATTATTTAAATATGTATTTGGCAGTTGAAAGCAAAAAGAATAACCTTATCTGATGCAATTTTTAATGTTTGCAAATAAAATGCCTATGACAATTACAACATGGAGGGAGGAGCTTAATGGTGGTGGCAAGGTTTCTGTATTACCATTGAAGTAATAAAATATTAATTCTAAGTGGATTCTAAAAGTTTAATCCCTAGAGCAACTACTTAAAAATTTATTTGAAGATATGTAGTCAAATACAATTTGAGAGAAATATATTTAAATAATCCAAAAGAAGGAAGAAAGGAGGAAACTAATGAAATATAGAGTAAACAAACAGGAAACAAATTAGAAAGCGATAGACCTAAATCTAAAGATATTAATAATTATGTGTAAATGATCTGAAGACACCAGTTACAACAAAGATATTCAACTATGTGCTATGTAAAATAAATCCATTTTAAATATAATGTTTTAGAAAGCTTTAGCCAGGCACAGTGGCTCATGCCTATAATCCTAGCAATTTGGAAGGCCAAGGTGGATGGATCATCTGAGGTCAGGAGTTCGAGACCAGCCTGGCCAACATGGTGAAACTCGGTCTCTACTAAAAATATTTAAAAATTAGCCAGGCGTGGTGGTGCACGCCTGTAATCCTAGCTGCTTGGGTGGCTGAGGCGGGAGGATCGCTTGAACCCGGGAGGCAGAGGTTGCAGCGAGCTGCGATCGTACCAATGAACTCCAGCCTGGGAGACAGAGCAAGACTCCGTCTCAAAAAAAAAAAAAAAAAGATAAATATAATGTTTTAGAAAGGCTGGAATAAAAGGATGAAAAAAGAGAGACTATGCCATGCCATGTAAACACAAATCAAAAGATAGCTGTAGTGGCTATATTAATATCAGATAACACAGACTTCAGAGCAAGGAAAAATTACCATGAAAAAAGAGGGACATTGCAGAATGACAAAAAGGTCAAGAAGACAATGATTTAAATGTGTATGCACCTAACAACATTTCTTCGATATACATGAATCACAAACTGATACAACTGAAATGAGGAATAGACACATGTACACCTCTATTTGGACGTTTTAACACTCCTATCTCAGCAATCAAATGAACAAGTAGACAAAGTCAGTAAGGATACAGAAGAATGAATCACATTACCAGCCAACTAAATCTAATTGATATTTCCCAGTTCATGTTACAAAGCCGGCATTACTCTGATATCAAAATTAGACAGAAATAGTAAAACAGAGGAAAACTATGGACAAATATTCCTTCATGAATATGGATGAAAAATCACTGAAATCTTATTAGCAAGATTGAAGGCAATCCAGCAACATAAACTAAGAATTATTCACAATGATCAAATGGGGTTTATTCCAAGAATGCAAGACTGTGTTGAAATTCAAAACCAAAGCTGGGTGTGGTGGCTCATGCCTGTAATCCGAGCACTTTGGGAGTCTGAGGCAGGTGGATTAGTTAAGGTCAGGAGTTCGAGACCAGCCTGCCCAACATGGTGAAACCCCATCTCTACTAAAAATAGAAAAAATAGCTGCGCATGGTGGTGCGCATCTGTAATCCCAGCTATTTGGGAGGCTGAGGCAGGAGAATCACTTGAACCCGGGAGGTGAAGGTTGCAGTGAGCCGAGATCACCCACTGCACTCCAGCCTGTGTGACAGAGGGAGACTCCGTCTCAAAAATGAAAATAAAAATAAAATAATAAAATAAAGAAATTCAAAAGCAAACACTATAATTTATACAATGTAATTAAAAGACTAAAGAAAAAAGATTAAATCAATTAAAGAAGATAAAACATTTGAAAATAATCCAATATCTATTCTTGGTTAAACATTCAGCAGACTAGAGATAGAAGCAAACTTTATTAGCTTGATAAAGAGCATTTACCACAAACACCATACTTAATTGTGAAACATAAAAAGCAAGAATGTCCACTTTCACAACTTCTATTCACATAGTACTAGAAGCCTTTGCTAGGGTAATAAGGCAAGAAAGAAAAATAAAAGGCATTCAGATTGGAAACACAGGAACAAAATTGTCTCTGTTCATAAATTACCTGATTGTCTACATAGAAAAACCACGCAATGGGTCTCCAAAAAAACGCTCTTATAACTACAAAGTGAGTTTAACAAATTCATAGGATGCAAAGTCAACATGTAAAAATTCTTTTTATTTGTAATTTAGCAGCGAACAATTAGAAACCAAAAATAAAATCTAACATCACTTACAGTTGCTCAAAAAATTGAAATACTTAGTTGTAAACCTAATAAAATAGATACAGGATCTGTATCCTGAAAGCTACAAAATGCTGATGAAAGAAATCAAATAAGACCTAATTAATGGAAAGCCATACTGTGTTGTGTTCATAATCAGAAAATTCACTATAGTTAATTCTCCTCAAACTGATCTGTAGGTTAACATAATTACAAACAAAATCCCTGAAGGATTTTTTGTAGATACAGATTAGCTGATTCTAAAATTTATATGAAAAGGTAAAGGGATTAAAACAGTCAAAATAATTTTGACAAAGAAGAACCAAATCAGAGAACTCATGTTAACCAATTTAAAGACTTACTATAAAACTGCAATAATCAAGAAAACATAACATTGGCAAAAAGACTCATAGATCTATCCATTTAGCAGAACAGACCCACAAAATTATAGCTAATTAATTTTTGACAGAAATCTAACGTAATTCATCAGCAAAAGGATAGTATTTTTAAACAAATAGCACTGGAGCATATGTTTTTAAAAAAATTGTTATTGGCTGGGCATGATGGCTCATGCCTGTAATCCCAGCACTTTGGGAGGCCAAGTTGGGCAGATCACTTGAGGTCAGGAGTTGAAGACCAGACTGGGCAACATGGTGAGACCCCATCTCTACAAAAAATATAGCCAGGCATGGTGACACACACCTGTAGTCCCAGCTACTAAAGAGGCTGAGGGGAAAGGATCACTTGAACTTGGGAGGTCAAGACTGCAGAGAGCCGTGATGATGCTACTGCACTCCAGCCTGAGTGACAGAACAAGACCATGTCTCAAAAATTTTTTTTTAATGTTCTAAACCTCATACCGTACACAAAAATTCTCCCAAATTGTATCATAAATCTAAATATAAAACATAAAAGCTATAAAAAACTTAGACAAAAACACTAGAGAAAATCTCCATGATTTTAGGCAAAGAGTTTTAAAACATGACATCAAAAACACAATCCATTAAAAAAAAAATGGTAAGTTGGACTTCATCGAAATGTAAAACTTTTGTTCTATGTAAGCTACTATCAAGAGAATGAAGGACAAACTACAGATAGGGAGATAATATTTGTAAACCCTATGTCTAAAAAAGGACTTCTATCTAGTATATATAGAGAATTCTCAAAACTCCAGAAAGAAAACAAGAAAAAAAATTTTTTTAATCATGGGAAAGAATCAGTCACTTCACCAAAAAAAATATAAGAATGACAAATAAGCACAACAAAACATGCTCAGCACTAAGGAAACAATGTAGCCATTACGTAACTAATTAAAACCACAGTGTGATAAAACTTTATAGCTATCAGAACAGCTCAAAACAAAACTGACTACTGCATGCTGACAAGGATGTAGAGCACCTGGAACTCTCATAAATACCTCCTGAGAACCCAATGTGGTACAGCTGCTCTGGAAAACAACTTAGCAACTTTTTATGTAGTCAAACATATTTATCATGTGACCCAGTAATTTCACTACTATATATTTATCATGAAAAATGAAAAGTTCTATTCATAAGAAACCTCCACATAAGTGTTTATAGCAGCTCTATTCATAATCATCCCCAAACAAGAACAACCCAAAGGTACTTCAACAGGTGAATAGGTAAACAAACTGTGGTATATTCATACAGTGGAATACTACTCAGCAGCAAAAAGGAACAAACTACTTATTGACCTATACAACTAAACAGATGAATCTCAAGTGAACTGAAAGAAGCCAGTCTCACATGTTATATACTGTATGATAGCATTTATATGACATTTTAGAAAAGACAAAGTTATAGTAACAGAGAACAGATTGGTCATTACTAGCAGTTAAAAGTGGAGGGACAGTGTTTCCTCAAAATGTCAGTCCAAGGGAGTTTTGTGGTGATGGAGCTGTTCCATATCCCGATTGTGGTGGTTACATGAATCTATGCACATGTTCAAACTCATAGAATTTTACACACACACATGCACACACACACACACACACACACACACACTCGATTTTACTGTATGTTAGTTAAAAAAGAAAAAACTTGCTTTGTTTCACTGTAGTGAGAACTAAAAGCAAGATCATGTGATAAACAACCCTGGAAAATGCCTGTACATGATAGGGCTTCAATAAATGTTAGTTCATTTTTCCTGGTCTTTTTGCCTTTTAGCCACTGGTAAGTCTTTTTCGAGTGGTCAGCGTCCCTGCTAGCTAGAATGTACACGCTTTGCACACACAGTTCGGGATTAGAAAAGCCTGGTGCAGACTATGTAAATCTGCATCATCACTAGCAGTGACTCAGCTCTCCACTATCATTTTTCAGGCTTACATTAGTGCAAAGACCCCTTTTAACAGGAATATTTATTTTTTAGATCAATAGCTACTGTCAAATTAGGAACTGTCAAAAATCAAGACACATATCTCATTCTTAGAGTAACATGAAATATATCACTGTTTTCCAGAAATTGGAGACATACTTTCTTTGTTAAATGCAAGGTTTTGATCCTATTATATCATTGTTGCATTGCAGCCTGGATGAGCTGTTGTTTTGTTACACGCGGTTACTCTGGAGATGAGCATTTATAGATTTCAGTATTTTTTAATGAAGAGTCTCTGTGTTTCTGTTGGCCAATGCTATTTATTTTTACCAAGTAAGTATTATAAAAGCCAAACTGCCTTTCCTCTATTTCAACATGTATGCTATTTATTCAGGACTTGCTCTGTTCTAATAGTATCTAAAGAAGCAGAATGTATCCTTGATATTATTTTACGTTCTTCTGATGCAAAACAGTTATTTATCTTGATTTCTGGTAAAAATCTCTGGTTCATATTTGAAAGAAACAATGCTGAAAAGAAAATGCTTTCATTCCATCCCTACAGAGGAAATTAAATTTTTCAGGGAATCTTTCTCCCTGTCGAAATACATGTTGTTCTTAAGGAATAGGTGTAGATATAATCCGGTTATCACCACGAAGATTAAATAATTAAATAAATCATTCCTCAAACTCATATAAATAAATATTATATTATATTATATTAGAAGTGAATTTGGATACACAATTGCATTCTGAGCACTAAGTCTTCTTCACTTTTCTCTGAATCTATTATAGTTTTATGCATAGGTTCTTATTTCTAACAGTTCATTTGAACGTTCGACATTTGCATTTTACACAGTCAGTAAAATATAATTACTCAATGCATATGTTTTCTGATTAAATGTGTGAAACTTTTAAATAGAATACAGAAATTAGTTTTAAGTGCATTATGAAAGACCTAAATTTATCTTTTTGGTTCATGGAGTAGTGATCAGCTTTCCTTGTGACTTCATTCTCAGTGACTGTCAGTCAGCCAGAGTTCATGGACTCTAAAAGGAAGTTTATCCCTAGTTAATCCTCCTATATCTAAGCAGAAGTAGCCCCAAACCAACCTTTATGTGACAGTCACCTCACATTATTGCATCTTGAGCTAAATATTGTCAATAAAATTCACAGTTAAATCAGGTGGATATTAACTGAGGGCACCTAAAGAACTGCTTTAGAGGCACAATGCGTTTGTCATTCTGCCTGAAACTACAGTGAATCATTAAAGTCGAATTCTGTTTACCCACACTGACAGAGCAAAAGTAAGGGCATCACTGAATTATCCCAACCGGGGTGCAGAATCTAGAGTAACAAAAGTTCAATTCTGAATTAATTTTATACCAGACTGTCTTTCTGAAGAATTTCTGGTAAAATTTCTTCTTTCCCCTTCTTGGGGCATCTTTGTGTTTCCTCAAAGTCCCAGCACAACCTCGCATGACTGCTGTCTTTTTTTAAATTTTCTTACCTGGTCCTACTTTTTAAAGAAACATCTAAGCTCCAGAACTGTTTTGTTATCACTCATTCTCCTCGCCCTCATTAAAACTTTACCAGCCCTGGGTCCCATTCTCTTATCCCTCTGCACCACATACACACGCAGACTTGTGCGCATGGGCTTTGGGACCAGACAGGCTTCAGAACTACATCTGCCACTTTCTAACTGTGTCCTTGATCAAGTAAATAAACCATGCTCAGCTCAGGGCCCTCATCTATAAGTGGACACAAGTATGGATAGTTACCTATTTCACAAGATGATTTTGAAGATTATATTAGATACTGCAAATGAAATATTTAGCACAGTGCCTGATACAGCTAGTGCTAAATGCCACCACTGTCATCATCACCACACACTCTATACTATAGTTATTAGACTACACATATCTCTCTCTCAATATAATTAAAATTGGTAGAGAAGGAAATGTGTCTGTCTTATCACTGTTTTTTTCCTAAGAAACTTAGATAATGTGTGTCACGTAGATGTTCAATAAATAATTTGAAAATGCATAACAGGATATATTAGTCCTCTCCCACATCTTTCGCCTTCCCTTGCTCCCTCCCTCTGTCTCCATCCATCCATCTACCACCCAACTATGCATATGTATGTAATTTTTAAAGGACTGTTTCTTTTTTACCTCTATTACTTTATGCATGATTGATCCTGTTTTCATTCCAAGTAATTGCCTCATGACTATACATGCTTTTATTTTTTCAAACTATTTCTGATTGCCTATTTCTCTGGCTAGAACATAAGCTAATTAGGGCAGATACTTCGTCTTTTTTATCATATGTCCTCAGGGCCTAGCGCAGTGTCAGACATATGAATAGGAACACAGTGAATATTTGTCAAAAGAACAAGTGAATGCTCTCTGGCTCTTTCAATATCTGCTTCTGATTCTTCATCTTGGACTCCCCTCTCTGGCTTTCTTGTTTCCCTTCCATCCAATGCTCTTCTTCTTTACTGTTATATACACTACCCTCATTTATGTACTGTGTACACCTGAGGTAGAAGAGTCCTTTCCACCCTGATCTGGCCCCAGTTACCAAAAAGCCTAACCTCCATTGAACAAAGAAGAGGATCTCCAATGGAAAGTGTATATATCCTGTTTATTTGTGTTGTTATTCCAATGCCTTGACCTGTGACTGAAAGGAGAGAGATATGGGATAGAAGTAGCTTTGTAAAAAAAAAAAAAAAAAAAAAAAAAAAACCCTGCCCACAGGGTCCCTCAACTACTGAGCAGAGCAACTTGCTGCTGGCTCTTTATGCTATTCTACTAAAGCAGGTGTTCTCAGTATTGACCACACGTGAAAATCACATGAGTATCTTTTAAAATAAGGATGCCTGGGCCAGGCACGCTGCCTCACACCTGTAATCCCACCACTTTGGGAGGCCAAGGCAGGCAGATCACCTGAGATCAGGAGTTTGAGACCAGCCTGGCCAACCATGGCCAACACGGTGAAACTAAGAAAATTAGCCAGACATGATGGCGGGCACCTGTAATCCCAGCTACCTGGGAGGCTGAGGTGGGAGAATCACTTGAACCTGGCATGTGGAGTTTGCAATGAGCCAAGATTGCACCACTGCACTCCAGCCTCGGCAAAAGAGCAAGACTTCATCTCAAAAACACAAATTAAAAAATAAGAAATAAAATAAGGATGCCTGATAGCACACCCACCTCCAGGAGAGAGGCTCAGGCATTTATAGTATGAAAAATCTTCCGCAGGTGATTATAAAATGAAGCCAGATGTGAGAATCACTGAGTTCTGAAGCCCACTCGGACTGCAGCTTTTCAGGTACCAGAAATCTCAAAGTCTTAAGTTACAAGACAGAAGAACAAATCAGCAAGGACTCTGACTCACTGACAACTTATGCCATTTATAAGGTGTCACCCATCACTCAATTATAGCTAATTGTGATTATGTGAGAGTGTAGCTCAGGGTTGCTACATCTTTTCTGTCTTGAAGAGAAGCCATAAATCTGCAATTTTAGATGAACTCTCACAATGTAAAGTGCTGGCACCTATTCAAATTTCTCTATAATGTAGTATGGGCTGAAATAAAAGCATATCTTGGGCTGGATTACATTCATGGGCCAATCATTTGTAGTTTTTACTTTATAACAACTGCTCTCCCATATCCTAAGAAAACCTTTCTATATTTTTATTATTATACTTTAAGTTTTAGGGTACATGTGCACAATGTGCAGGTTAGTTACATATGTATACATGTGCCATGTTGGTGTGCTGCACCCATTAACTCGTCATTTAGCATTAGGTATATCTCCTAATGCTATCCCTCCCCACTCCCCCCCCCCACAACAGGCCCCAGTGTGTGATGTTCCCCTCCCTGTGTCCATGTGTTCTCATTGTTCAATTCCCACCTATGAGCGAGAACACGCGGTGTTTGGTTTTTTGTCCTTGGGATAGTTTGCTGAGAATGATGGTTTCCAGCTTTATCCATGTCCCTACAAAGGACATGAACTCATCCTTTTTTATGGCTGCATAGTATTCCATGGTGTATATGTGCCACATTTTCTTAATCCAGTCTATCATTGTTGGACATTTGGGTTGGTTCCAAGTCTTTGCTATTGTGAATAGTGCCCCAATAAACATACGTGTGCATGTGTCTTTATAGCAGCATGATTTATAGTCCTTTGGGTATATACCCAGTAATGGGATGGCTGGGTCAAATGGTATTTCTAGTTCTAGATCCCTGAGGAATCACCACACCACACCTATTCCAAAATTGACCACATAGTTGGAAGTAAAGCTCTGCCTAATTGCCCTGGCCAGAACTTCCAACACTATGTTGAATAGTAGTGGTGAGAGAGGGCATCCCTTCGTTGTGCCAGTTTTCAAAGGGAATGCTTCCAGTTTTTGCCCATTCAGTATGATATTGGCTGTGGGTTTGTCATAGATAGCTCTTATTATTTTGAGATACGTCCCATCAATACCTAATTTATTGAGAGTTTTTAGCATGAAGGTTGTTGAATTTTGTCAAAGGCCTTTTCTGCATCTATCGAGATAATCATGTGGGTTTTGTCTTTGGTTCTGTTTATATGCTGGATTACATTTATTGATTTGCATATATTGAACCAGCCTTGCATCCCAGGGATGAAGCCCACTTGATCATGGTGGATAAGCTTTTTGATGTGCTGCTGGATTCAGTTTGCCAGTATTTTATTGAGGATTTTTGCATCAATGTTCATCAAAGATATTGGTCTAAAATTCTCTTTTTTTGTTGTGTCTCTACCAGGCTTTGGTATCAGGATGATGCTGGCCTCATAAAATGAGTTAGGGAGGATTCCGTCTTTTTCTATTGATTGGAATAGTTTCAGAAGGAATGGTACCAGTTCCTCCTTGTACCTCTGGTAGAATTCAGCTGTGAATCCATCTGGTCCTGGACTCTTTTTGGTTGGTAAGCTATTGATTATTGCCACAATTTCAGATCCTGTTATTGGTCTATTCAGAGATTCAACTTCTTCCTGGTTTAGTCTTGGGAGAGTGTATGTGTCCAGAAATTTATCCATTTCTTCTAGATTTTCTAGTTTATTTGCATAGAGGTGTTTGTAGTATTCTCTGATGGTAGTTTGTATTTCTGTGGGATCGGTGATGATATCCCCTTTATCATTTTTTATTGCGTCTACTGAATTCTTCTCTCTTTTTTTCTTTATTAGTCTTGCTAGCGGTCTATCAATTTTGTTGATCCTTTCAGAAAACCAGCTCCTGGATTCATTAATTTTTTGAAAGGTTTTTTTGTCTCTATTTCCTTCAGTTCTGCTCTGATTTTAGTTATTTCTTGCCTTCTGCTAGCTTTTGAATGTGTTTGCTCTTGCTTTTCTAGTTCCTTTAATTGTGATGTTAGGGTGTCAACTGTGAATCTTTCCTACTTTCTCTTGTGGGCATTTAGTGCTATAAATTTCCCTCTACACACTGCTTTGAATGCGTCCCAGAGATTCTGGTATGTTGTGTCTTTGTTCTCGTTGGTTTCAAAGAACATCTTTATTTCTGCCTTCATTTCGTTATGTACCCAGTAGTCATTCAGGGGCAGGTTGTTCAGTTTCCATGTAGTTGAGCGGTTTTGAGTGAGATTCTTAATGCTGAGTTCTAGTTTGATTGCACTGTGGTCTGAGAGATAGTTTGTTACAATTTCTGTTCTTCTACATTTGCTGAGGAGAGCTTTACTTCCAAGTATGTGGTCAATTTTGGAATAGGTGTGGTGTGGTGCTGAAAAAAATGTATATTCTGTTGATTTGGGGTGGAGAGTTCTGTAGATGTCTATTAGGTCTGCTTGGTGCAGAGCTGAGTTCAATTCCTGGGTATCCTTTTTGACTTTCTGTCTCGTTGATCTGTCTAATGTTGACAGTGGGATGTTAAAGTCTCCCATTATTAATGTGTGGGAGTCTAAGTCTCTTTGTAGGTCACTCAGGACTTGCTTTATGCATCTGGGTGCTCCTGTATTGGGTGCATATATATTTAGGATAGTTAGCTCTTCTTGTTGAATTGATCCCTTTACCATTATGTAATGGCCTTCTTTGTCTCTTTTGATCTTTGTTGGTTTGAAGTCTGTTTTATCAGAGACTAGGATTGCAACCCCTGCCTTTTTTTGTTTTTCATTTGCTTGGTAGAGCTTCCTCCATCCTTTTATTTTGAGCCTATGTGTGTCTCTGCACGTGAGATGGGTTTCCTGAATACAGCACACTGATGGGTCTTGACTCTTTATCCAATTTGCCAGTCTGTGTCTTTTAATTGGAGCATTTAGTCCATTTACATTTAAAGTTAATATTGTTATGTGTGAATTTGATCCTGTCATTATGATGTTAGCTGGTTATTTTGCTCATCAGTTGATGCAGTTTCTTCCTAGTCTCGATGGTCTTTACATTTGGCATGATTTTGCAGTGGCTGGTACCGGTTGTTCCTTTCCATGTTTAGCGCTTCCTTCAGGAGCTCTTTTAGGGCAGGCCTGGTGGTGACAAAATCTCTCAGCATTTGCTTGTCTGTAAAGTATTTTATTTCTCCTTCACTTATGAAGCTTAGTTTGGCTGGATATGAAATTCTGGGTTGAAAATTCTTTTCTTTAAGAATGTGGAATATTGGCCCCCACTCTCTTCTGGCTTGTAGAGTTTCTGCCGAGAGATCTGCTGTTAGTCTGATGGGCTTCCCTTTGAGGGTAACCCGACCTTTCTCTCTGGCTGCCCTTAACATTTTTTCCTTCATTTCAACTTTGGTGAATCTGACAATTATGTATCTTGGAGTTGCTCTTCTCGAGGAGTATCTTTGTGGCGTTCTCTGTATTTCCTGAATCTGAATGTTGGCCTGCCTTGCTCGATTGGGGAAGTTCTCCTGGATAATATCCTGCAGAGTGTTTTCCAACTTGGTTCCATTCTCCCCGTCACTTTCAGGTACACCAATCAGACGTAGATTTGGTGTTTTCACATAGTCCCATATTTCTTGGAGGCTTTGCTCGTTTCTTTTTATTCTTTTTTCTCTAAACTTCCCTCCTCGCTTCATTTCATTCATTTCATCTTCCATCGCTGATACCCTTTCTTCCAGTTGATCGCATCGGCTCCTGAGGCTTCTGCATTCTTCACGTAGTTCTTGAGCCTTGGTTTTCAGCTCCATCAGCTCCTTTAAGCACTTCTCTGTATTGGTTATCTAGTTATACATTCTTCTAAATTTTTTTCAAAGTTTTCAACTTCTTTGCCTTTGGTTTGAACGTCCTCCCGTATCTCGGAGTAATTTGATCGTCTGAAGCATTCTTCTCTCAGCTCGTCAAATTCATTCTCCGTCCAGCTTTGTTCCGTTGCTGGTGAGGAACTGCGTTCCTTTGGAGGAGGAGAGTCGCTCTGCTTTTTAGAGTTTCCAGTTTTTCTGCTCTGTTTTTTCCCCATCTTTGTGGTTTTATCTACTTTTGGTCTTTGATGATGGTGATGTACAGATGGGTTTTTGATGTGGATGTCCTTTCTGTTTGTTAGTTTTCCTTCTAACAGACAGGACCCTCAGCTGCAGGTCTGTTGGAGTACCCGGCTGTGTGAGGTGTCAGTCTGCCCCTGCTGGGGGGTGCCTCCCAGTTAGGCTGCTCAGGGGTCAGGGACCCACTTGAGGAGGCAGTCTGGCTGTTCTCAGATCTCCAGCTGCGTGCTGGGAGAACCACTGCTCTCTTCAAAGCTCAGATGGAAATGCAGAAATCACCCATCTTCTGTGTCGCTCACGCTGGGAGCTGTAGACTGGAGCTGTTCCTATTCGGCCATCTTGGCTCCTCCGCCTAACTTTAACTTTTAAACTTGTGTGAAATTCAAAGAACACAGAACCCAGTATCATTTACACTTGGGCCATCATAAAAAGGCAGCTTTCTCAAAAAGAATATTGGCTGTCTTCCAGACTGCCAGAAAGCTTTCTATGGAATCTTTTAAACCGTTCTCCTTTAAGCCACAAAGGGAAATTAAATTTGGCCAAGTGTGAATGGACTGCCCAAAGTATGAAATATTTCTAACAGAGACAGAGTTTAAGAGAATCATAAAGCTTCCCAATTTCAGGGAAGAAAACATAAATTCCACCCACCCCATTTATCATGTAAGAAACATTAAGTAACCTGCAGTATAGTGACAAAAAAATTTTTTTTAGTGTCATAGTGGTGAATTATTTAATCTTTACAGAAATCATTCAGGCACTTTATGGGGAGGTAAAGGTACTATCTGACAAGAATGGTGTGATGATACTTTTAAATAGCTGTTTAAAAACAAATGAATTAATAGTGAGTTAATAAATGATGCTTGGGATATGCCCTGGTGAGAATTTCAATCTTGAAAATTAATTATGAAATATTTCAAGCATGAAGTATAGAGAATATTATAATAAATGCCCATAAGACACCACTTAGCTTTGCCAAATCTTAACACTTGGTCATAATTGCTTAGTTTTGTTTTTTTTTAATATAAGATACTTTAGATACAATTATGTACTTCTTGTCACAGAAGTGACTATACTGATTTTGGTGTTGATCATCTCCAGAATTTTTTAAGAGATATATATGCATCTTTAATCCTGTTTTAAAATTTAGTCTTTATTACTATTCCTGTTTAATGGTGAGGCCAACAGATCAAGAGACAACTACCATTGAAAAGATAATTTGTTATACTCACAGAACCCAAGAGAAAGGAATCACACCCTGGGGCAGGAGGAGGAACACAAAGAAACAGTAGGGTCAATCAGAAGGCAGAGAAAGTAAGGGGGAAATGTGGATAAAACTCTTATTGTCTTTCCATAGGAACGGGCAGCCAGAGACCAGGTAAACAGCTTAAGATTGGCTAGTTTGAATAACTTCTCGGCAAACTCTGCAGTGTAGTGGATGTCCCTAGTTGTCAGATACCTGGACCTAGGTAATTAGAGTAGGGGAATAATGGCCCAGAGTGTTAAGAACCCTGTAAAGGAGATGGCTGGGAGTATGGACTTTGGATTAGTTGGTTTGCATATGAAAGGTGCATTCACAGACCAGTTGTTTGCTGTCTCTGGGCATTAGCCACCACCACTGGGAGGGGCAGTTTCTTCAGGGTCAGCAAAGCCAGAAGATGTCAAAGCATCAAAAATACACAATAAAAAGACATGAATACAAAACAACATACTATATTATTTTGCATGTTGTTAACCTTTATAAAAATATCATTCTGTTCATGTTTACATACATCTTATCAACTTTTTGGTTTTTGCTCTCAACATTATACTTTGGAAATTTTTCCAGCTGGTTGCATGCAGCTCAGTTTACTCCTTTTTTCATTTTAAAATTTGGCATTGTGTAAATATACCACAGTGCATTAATTGTATTTATGTTCATACTTGAGGGTACTTAAGTTGTTTCCAGTTTTTTGGTTTAGTAATGATGCTTCCGTAATTAATGTTTTGTCTGACCCCAGGTGTACATGTGGCAGAGAGAAGGACATGGAATAACTGGGTCCAAGGGCATTTTGTATCTTCTACTTTAATGAATATTAACAAATGACTCTTGAAAGCAGTTGTAGCAAATTATCCTTCCATCAAGACTGTAGAAAATATCCTACTGTTCCACTGCCTCACCAGCATGGATACTGTGGGATTTTCCTTTCAATGTTCACCAATATAATGGTGAATAAAGGTGTCAAAGTATTGTTTACACTTCTTGATTACTACTGAAGATGAACATCTTCTTTTTTTTACATGTTTATTGATCGTTTGCATTTTATCTTCTATAAATTGCCTGTTCATATCTTTTGCCAATTTTTCTACTGGGTTGTTTGTATTTCTCTTATTATTTAGCAAATTTCTTTATATACTTTACTGGCATGTGTTGCAAATATCTTTCTCCAGTCTAACGCTTACACATAAACTACAGTTCAGTTTATGTATCTTTGTTTTACAGAAATTTTAAGTTTAGTGTACTTAAATTTATTAATTTTTCAATTTTAGTGCGGGATTTTTGTGTGTTTTTTTAAAAAAGTCTTCTGAACAGACATTTTATTTAAAAGTTTTAAAGTCTTAATTTTTCCTATTTATATCTTTAGTAAAATTGGAATTGAGATTTAATGTGGTAATAAGCAAAGGTCTTAGGTTACTCCACAAGGAAAATCAATAGTCTTAGCATCCTTTATTGATTAGTCCATATTGTCCACCACTGATTTTTGATGATACACTGTCATTTATCATATTCCTTTGTTTGTGGTTTATTTCCGTGCTCTTTATTTTCTTCCATTGGTCTATTTTTTTAAATCCCTGTCGATATCATAATATTTTAATCACTCTAACTTTAGAAAAATCATATTTCCTGGTATGCCAATCCCCTCAATCTTGATCTACTTCTTTAAAATTGCTTTAGCTTTTCTTTAAAACTTGCTCTTCCATATAACTATTAATCAGCCAGTTAATTTCCACATACCCATACAAAAACAAACAAAAAAACAACTGTGCTTTAGATGGGTTTTGCCTTCAATTTATATACTGATGTGGATTAAACTGATTATCTTCACAACATTGAAACTTACCACTTATAAATGTGCTTATTTCTGTTTGTTTAGGGTTTTTATTTTTTTTCAATTAAGTATTTGATTACTTCTCCTAAATCCTGGAGCCTGTTTTTTTCTTAGACTAATTTCTTGATATGGTATAACTTTTGTGGTCACTGTAATTGATATAGTTTAAAATAATATGGGGGGGTTATTTTTGTCCACTAATCATACACCCAGCTATCTAACTAGACTTTCTTATCAGCTGTCATAGTGATGTCGTAGACTGGTTACAGAGTAGGCTTTGTGTGTGTGTGTAAACAATGATGTTTTCTGTGGGTAATGATAGTTTTTCATCAGTAATTCTGACATATCTTTTTCATTTTCTATTCTTATTGCGTAGTAATTATGACGTATCTTTTTCTTTCTCTATTCTTATTGTGTAGGCCAGGGTATCCAGCACAATATCAAATAGAGGAGGTAACAGCATCATTGTCTCATTCCAATTTTAAGCGGAATGTGTCTAAAATTTCTCCATTCAGTATATTTATTTTAGTGTTTAATCGAATTACCCCTTATCAGATTAAGAATTTTTTTCTTAAAAACTTTTATTGTGATAGATTTCCATTTTTATCAAATACATTTTCTATGTTTATTAAGAAAATCATGTGGCTTTTTCTCTTTTAATTTATTTATATGAAAATTTTCTTTGAAAGAGTTGTCTAATATTTAGCAACTCTTGAATTCTGTGACACATTCAAGCTGATAATAATGTATTATTTATTTAGACTCTGCTAAATGCACATTGTCCCTATATTATTTCCTTTTATTGTCCCTGTCTACTTTTGTTACCAATGTTACACTAACCACATAAAAAGGGTTGGAGAGCATTACTTCTTTTACTAGCTGATATGGTTTGGCTAGTATGGCAGGGACCTGGTGGGAGGTAATTGAATCATGAGGGCAGGTCTTTCCCGTGCTGTTCTCATGATAGTGAATAAGTCTCACGAGATCGGATGGTTTTAAAAAGAGGAGTTCCCCTGCACAAGCTCTCTCTTTGCCTGCCACCATCCATTTAAGATGTGACTTGCTCCTCCTTGCTTTCCACCATGATTGTGAGGCCTCCTCAGCCACATGGAACTGTAAGTCCATTAAATCTCTTTCTTTTGTAAATTGCCCAGTCTCAGAAATGTCTTTATCAGCAGCATGAAAGTGGACTAAAACAGTAAATTTGTACCAGTAGAGTGGGGCATTGCTGAAAACACACCTGAAAATGTGGAAGTGACTTTGGAACTGGGTAACAGGCAGAGGTTGGAAACAGGCAGAAGACAGGAAAATGTGGGAAAGTTTGGAACTTCCTAAAGACTTGTTGAATGGCTTTGACAAAAATGCTGATAGTGATATGAACAATAACGTTTAGACTGAGGTGGTCTCAGATGGAGATGAGGAACTTGTTGGTAACTGGAACAAAGGTGACTATTGTTATGTTTTAGCAAAAAGACTGGTGGCATTTTGCCCCTGCCCTAGAGATTTGTGGGACTTTCAACTTGAGAGATGATGTAGGGTATCTGGTGGAAGAAATTTCTAAGCAGCAAAGCACTCAAGACTTGACTTGGGTGCTGTTGAAGACATTCAGTTTTATAAAATAATCAGAGCCAAAAGTTCAGAAAATTTGCAGCCTGACAATGCAATAGAAAAGAAAATCCCAATTTCTGAGGAAATAGTCAAGCTGGCTGCGTAAATTTGCGTAAGTAACAAGCAGCTGAATGTTAATACCCAAGACAACATGGGGAAATGTCTCCAGGGCACGTTAGAGATCTTCACAGCAGCTGCTCTCATCACAGACCCAGAGGTCTAGAAGGAAAAAGTGGTTTCAAGGGCCAGGAACAAGGTCCCCATACTGTGTGCAGCCTAGGGACTTAGCGCCCTGTGTTCCAGCTGCTCCAGCTGTGGCTGAAAGGAGCCAACATAGAGCTCGGGCCATAGCTTCAGAGGGTGCAAGCCCCAAGCCTTGGCAGCTTCCACATGATGTTGAGCACAAAAGTCAAGATACACAAAAGTCAAGAATTGAGGTTCGGAAACCTCCACCTAGATTTCAGAAGATGTATGGAAACACCTGGATGCCCAGGCAGAAGTCTGCTGCAGGGGAGAGGCCCTTGTGGAGAGCCTCTGCTAGGGCAGTATGGAAGGGAAATATGTGGTGGGACCCTGACACAGAGTCCTTACTGGAGCACTGCCCAGTGGAGCTGTGAGAAGACGGCCACCATCCTCCAGACCCCAGAATGGTAGATCCACCGACAGTTTGCACCATGTGGCTGGAAGACACATGGGAGGGAGGCTGTACCCTGCAAAGCCACAGGGGCAGAGCTGCCCAAGATCATGGAACCCACCTCTTACATTACTGTGACCTGGATGTGAGAAATGGAGTCAAAACAGATCATTTTGGAGTTTTAAAGATTTGACTGTCCCACTGGATTTCAACCCTGCATCGGTTGGCCAAAATTGGCCAAATTTGTTTTGGCCACTTTCTCTCATTTGGAATGGCTGTATTTACCCAATACCTCTACCCCATTGTATCTAGGTAGTAACTAACATGCTTTTGATTCTACAGGCTCATAGGCAGAAGGGGCTGGCCTTGTCTCAGATGAGACTCTGGATTGTGGATTTTTGAGTTAATATTGAAATGAGTTAAGACTTTTGGTAGACTGTAGGGAAGGCATAATTAGTTTTCAAATGTAAGGACATGAGATTTGGGAGGGGCCAGGGGCAGAATGATATGGTTTGGCTCTGTGTCCCCACTCAACTCTTATCTTGAATTCCCATGTGTTATGGGAAGGACCCAGTGGGAGGTAATTGAATCAAGGGGGCGGGTTTTTCCCGTGCTGTTTTCACGATAGTGACTAAGTCTCATGACATCTGATGATTTTAAAAAGATGAGTTCCCCTGCACAAGCTCTCTTTCTTTGCCTGCTGCCATCCATGTAGAACATGACTTGCTCCTCGCCTTCTGTCATGATTGTGAGGCCTCCCCAGCCACGTGGAACTGTAAGTCCATTAAACCTCTTTCTTTTGTAATTTGCCCAGTCTTGAGTATGTCTTTATCAGCAGTGTGAAAATGGACTAATACACTAGTCTGTGGTATAGTTTATATAAGATTGGGATTTTTTGTTCCTTTGAAGGGGTGGAATTTACTTCTAACATCACATGGTACTGACCTTATTTTTTTAGGGGACAGCTGTTAAATTACCAACACAATTTGTTAATAATTATAGGTCTATTCACTTTTCTGTATCTTCATGAATCAATTTTTGTAAGCATATATTTCTGTAAAAATTATCCATGTTTTCTGATTTTTCAAATCTACTGTTAGTCTAGCTGTGGTGTCTCATGCCTGTAATCCCAGCACTTTGAGAAATAGAGACAGGTGGTTCACTCCAGCCAAGGAGTTGAAGACCAGCCTGGGCAATATGGTAAAACCCTGTCTCTCCCAAAAAAACCCAAACAAAAACAAAAGTCAGCCAGATGTGGTGGTGCATGCCTGCAGTCTCAGCTGTTTGAGAGGTTGAGGGGGCAGGATCAATTAAGCCCAGGAAGTCAAGGCTGCAATAAGCCATGATTATGCCACTGCACTCCAGCCTGGGTGACAGAGCAAGACTGTCTCAAAAGAAAAAAAAAAGTAATGTTATAAAATTGTAGAGTTCTCTAATTTAAATATGTTATATCTGTAGTTAAGTGCCATCTTTCATGCCTCTAATTGTTTGGGTGCTTTTTTTCTCTCTCAGTTTTTATTCTTTGCTGATTATAAACAAATATTCTTTCTAGTCTTAATCCTTCCAAAGAATTAGCTTTTGCTGTTGTTGATCTTGTTTATTGTTATTTTTAATGAATTTTTATTCTTCTCTTTATTCTTTCTTTCCACTCTTTTAGGTTTCCTCTCTCAAGGCAAATTTAAATCTTGCAATGTGATATTTTATTTTAATTTTTTATAATTTACAAATAATAATTGTACATATTTATGGGGAGCATAGTGATGTTTCAATGCATCAGAACAGAGTGATCAGAACAGAGTGATTAGCATACCCATCATCTCAAACATTTTCCATTTATTTGTGTTGGGAACGTCAATATCCTTCTTTATGATTTGCAACTATATATTATTGTTAACTATAGTCATCCTACAGTGATATAGAACACTAGAGATTATTCTTCCTATCTAGCTATAATTTTGTATCCTTTAACAAATCTCTCCTTATCCTTCTCGTCCCCATACCCTTCCCAGCCTCTAGTATCCTCTGTTATACTTTTTACGTCTATGAGATCAACTTTTTCTAGCTTCCATATATTAGTGATAATATACAGTGTTCAACTTTCTGTTCCTAGCTTGTTTCATTTAACATCATGTCCTCCAATTCCACCCATGTTGCTGCAAATGACAGGATTTTATTCTTTGGCTAAGGATTTTATTCTATGGCTAAATAGTATTCCATTATGTATATATACCGCATTTGCTTTATCCATTTATCTGTTGGACAACTAGGTTGATTCCATACCTTAGCTATTGGAGTAGTGCTGCAATAAAAACATGGAAGTGTAGATGTCTCTTTGATATAGTAATTTCCTTTCCTTTGGGATAAATTCTAAGTAGTAGGATTGCTGGATCATATGATAGCTCCTTTTGATGAACCTTCATACTGATGAAACTTCATACTGTTTTTTATAGTGTCTGTACTAGTTTATTTTCCCAGCAACAGTATTTATGTGTTCCCTTTTCTCTTCATCCTCACCAACATTTGTTATTTTGTTGTCCTTTTGAGGATAGCCATCCTAACTGGCGAGACAATATCTTGTTGTGGTTTTAATTTGAATTTTCCTGATGATCAGGGAACCTGTTTTATGTATTTGTTGTTTTCTTTTGGGAAATGTCTGTTCAGATCATTTGCTTATTTTCTTAATCAACTTTTTTGTTGGTGGTGATTTGTTGTTTTTTTGCTGTTGAGATGTTTGAGTTAATCTTCTGTCAAATGGGTAGTTGGCAAATATTTTCTTCCATTCTATAGGTTATCTTTTCATTCTGTTTTTTGTTTTCTTTGCTGTGAAGAAGCTTTTTGGTTTGACATAATCCCATTTGTTTATTTTTCCTTTTGTTTCCTGTGCTTCTGAAGTCTTACTCATAAAACCTTTTCCCAGACCAATGCTCTGAAGCACTTCTACATTTTCTTCTAGTAGTTTTATCATTTCAGGTCTTATATTTAGGTCTCTGAGTCATTTTGTGGTCATTTCTATATAGAATGAGAGGTGGAAGTATAGTTTCACTCTTCTGCCTAGGGATCTACAATTTTCCCAGCAGAATTTATTGAAGAGACTGTCCTTTCCCCAGTGAGTGTTCTTGACACCTTTGTCAAAAATTAGTTGAATGTCAATACATGGATTATTTTCTGGGTTCTCTAGTCTGTTCTTCTGGTCTATGTTTCTATTTTCATGCCAATACCTTGTTGTTTTGGTTACTATAGCTTTGTAGTATATTTTGAAGTCTGAGAATGTGATGCATATAATTTTGTTCTTTTTGCTTAGAATGCTTTGGTTATTCAGTATCTTTTGTGGTTCCACAAAATTTTAAGTTTTTTTATTTCTATAAAGAATGTCATTGCCATTTTGATAGGGATTGCATTGAATCTGTAGATTGCTTTGGGTGGTATAGTCATTTTAACAATATTAATTATTCTGATCCATGAACATGGGATGTCTTTACATTTGTATCTTCTTTAATTTCTTTTATTAGTGTTCTGTAGTTTCCCTTGTGAAGGTCTTTCACATCCTTGGTTAAATTTATTCCTGGGTATTTTTTTGTAGCTATTGTAAATGAGGTTGCCTTCTTGAATTCTCTTTCAGCCAGCATGTTGTTTATGTATTGAAATGCTACTGATTTTGTATATTAATTTATCCCACAACTTTACTTAATTCATTTATCAGTTCTAAGAGTTTGTTGGTAGAGTCTTTAGGTTCTTCTGTATATAAGATCATGTAATCTGCAAGTAGGAACAATTTGCCTTCCTCTTTTCCAATTTGGATGACCTTTATTTCTTTCTCTTGCCTAATTGCTCTGGCTAGAGCTTCCAGTATAATTATGAATAAAAGTGGTAAGAGTGGGCATCCTTGTCGTGTTCTAGTTCTCAGAGGGAAATGTGAAAGCATCCATAAGATGTTAATTGTGATGCAAAATATTCTAAACTTTATTATATTCTCACTTACTTTATTTCTAAAATGAAAATTTATCAAATATAATGCCTTTATCTATATTTCTGATTTAAAGGAAATGTGCACATACCTTTTGAATTTGTTAATTAGAACTAGATCAACAAGGTCATAATGAATTGTCAGAAGGTTGGTGGTTAAAATAAGCCTTCTATAATAAGCAGAGTTTACAATGTTAAGTGGTAAATCCAGCTTTCTTCAGTAAACATTCAAACAGGTGTAGTTCTCTGTAATAATCATTTTCAGTGTTGAAATTATAAATCGAGTCCATGAAACCATTTTAGTAAACCTTTTGCTACTAGTAGAAAGCTCCTTACCCATGTTACCAATAAACTCAAAGAGAAACTTAACCTTATAATTGCAAAATTGCAAGTTAGTGTAGATTAAACTTTATCTAATATGAAATTATAATGTCTACCTTAGTGTTTACCTTCTCAAACATTTCTATCAACAGTCTTTCATTTTACCAATGTTTCTTATTAAACAACTTTCAAGTTTCACTTTAAGTTCTAGCAAAAAATGGAATAAAAATTATTGGGTTCATAATTTTCTGTTTCCACAATTCTATTTTTCTTTTAGTAGTTTATTGTATTGGAAGCTTGGCTCATTAATTTTTAATCTAATTTTTTGTTTCCTTTTCTGGTACAATAATTTAAATCTACAAATTTCTGCTAGAGGTAGCAATTTACCTATATCCAATGAGTTTGACATGTTGTATTTTCATTATAGGTCAATCCAAATAATTCCTAATTATAATTGCGATGTCTTCTTTGACCCATGTATGACTTAAAAGGGTGCTTGTTTGTTTGTTTGTTTGGTTGGTTGGTTGGTTTGCTTTGCTTTTGGTTTTGTTCTTTCCACATGGGTCTATGTGTATTGGGGGAGAAGAGTTAATTATATTTATTACTGATTTCTAAGTAATTTAATAGCATCATCATCAAAGAAAGTAATTTTTTAATACTAATTTTCTTCGTAACCTAGTTCTTGGTCAATATGTTTTTAGTGTTCTTTATTGACTTGGTGGGGTTTCCAGCCATTATGACAACCCACTTATATTTCCTTCCTGCAAATCTCATATTGAAATATCCATTGTTGGAGATGTGACCTAGTGGGAGGTGACTGTGTCACGGGGGCAGATCCCTCATGAGCAGCTTGGTGCCATCCTTGCAGTAATGAGTGAATTCCCACTCTATTAGTTTTCACAAGAGCTGATTGTTGAAAAGAGCCTAGCATCTCCCTTCCCTTCCTCATCCTTCATCCGTTGCCACGTGATGCCTGTCCTCCTTCCCCTACTGCCATGAGTGGAAGATTTCTGAGGCCCTCACCAGAAGCAGATGCTGATGCCGTGTTTCTTGTACAGCCTGCAGAACTATGAGTGAAATAAACTTTTTCTTTATAAATTACTTAGTTTCAAGTATTCCTTTATAGCAACACAAATGAACTAAAACATTCACCTATTCAATACAAAACACTAATTTCTTCATTCACTATTCCTTCTTGTGTTTTGTGCCTTCCTCCTGGATTAAATTTTCTTATCCTTTAAAGATATTCTTTTTCTAGAAGTTTATTCATAGCTAATTAAATTTGTTCAGAAGTAATTTTATTTTATCCTCACATTTGAATGATTTTCTACATTATAGAATTTTAAATTGGCAGTTATTTTCTCTAATAATTTTGAAGATATTTTTACAAGGTTTTCTAATTATTTTTTATTTGAAGATAGTCTATATTTTTCCCTCCACTTGCATTTAAAATATCTTCTTTAATGGCTCTACAGTTTTAATTTATAGGTTTCTGGAAGTGGATTTGTGTTTTCCTCCCTGGGATTTGTTGAGATCTCTGAATCTGAGGATTTATATCTTTTATAAGTTATGAAAGATTTCTGGATGTTATTTCATTGTAATTTAAATTGCCAGTTCTCCATATTCTATACTTTTCTAGAATGTGTATGAGATGAAAATGTATCTTTACATTCCATCTTCCACATCTCATCTCATGTGCCAGTTTCGTACCAAAATGTAAATCCCTTAGCCTCCAAGTTCAGAAACTCCCCCAGGGTTCCTTGGTTTTAGTTTACCCTCTTAGAATTCTGGTTTGCATTCACCACTGCTCAGGGTTCCATCTGGTATTCAGCTGCTTTACTTTGAGCCCCTGGGGATTTCTCATATCCTTGCAAGCTCTACTATGCATTTAAAATAATATTTGTAATGTTTTATAGAAGACTTCTGGGTAATTTTTCGTGAAAATGTCTTCAGATTATCTTGTTTATAACATTTCAGGAAATAGAGGTCAGTGAAGATTTTAAGCATCAAAAATATTTAATTATGTTAATAAGTTTGAACTACTTAATACAGACATAGTCCTTGAAAATTTTAGAAAAACATGCACACTACTGGGGCTGAATCAAAAAATGCTTTGTAGTTGACATTATTAAATAGAAGAGTTCGTTATTCAAGACCTCACTCTCCATGCATCTCGTTAATTAATATTTTACTTTAATGTTTCAATTTCCTTAAAACTTTTAGAGTGTTGCGTAGTTTAAAACAATTTTATTATCTTCATTTATTGGTTTATTTTCATCATTCTTCTGTCTTGTGTTAAATAGGAACAAAAGGAACTTGTATGTATTAACTAAGGTTAAGTGAGTACAATTAAGGTAGGGTGTTGAGCTAACTTTGATTAATTTTAGATAGATATTCTAGAAGTAGATAATCTTTGATCTTAAATTAGATCACCTTTTATTTAAATGGCTTAATAAAGACAATGCTTTTAGTATGATCTAATATTTTTGAGGCTTGGGTTCAAAACTCATCTACTCTTGACAATATTTCTGTTATATATTTGTGTATTTTGGAATCTTTCTCATCTTAATCCTTGTAAAGCATTTATTGCTATTACAACAACTATAGCCCTCAACTGTTTCCTGGCAATTTCAAGGTTTCTGGTATTGCCTTCCCAGCAAGTATATAAACTGCTCCAGGGCAGCAACAGCACACAGGGTTCTCTCTCATGATTCATCACCACAGGGTTGGTACACCTAGCAGCCAAGCACAAACAAGGTGAAAGAAAAGACCTGATTGCCTGAGTAGCAGCTCTATCTGAAACAGAAATTTCACTAACACCAATATATAACAGAAGGCTAAAGCAATAAAATATTTATGAAACTATCCAAGTCCATGGTGTTTGATTACAATTCCTGCTCACAGACTGCCTTGTAAAAGGACGTGTTAAAGATGAAAGAAAACCAAATCCCTATTAATCAGTTACAAAGCTAGAAAAAGCCAGAGAGAAGAAGGCTGGGGAAAGAATAATATTCTTATTATAAACATTTTCAAAGGGTCACTTGTAACTTCAACCTCAAACCTAGAATTTTCAGAGGGCTCAATAAGCCATTTAATTCAGTCATTCAAATATTTATTGACTACCTATCATGTTAAGCACTGTTCTAGGCATTTGGTATACAATCATAACAAATCAGGCAAACATTTTTGCCCTCATGGAACTTGAATTCTAGTTAGGAGGAAGAAACAAACAAATGGATACACAAATAGATAAATGAAGATATAACATGTCAGAATTGCTATGAAGAAAAATTAAAGCAGCAGGAAAGAGGGTCTGGGCCAAGTTTGGGAGATTATCATTTTAAATAGATGGTTAGCGAAAGCTTCACTGAAATGGTAACATTTGAGCAAATGGGGGTCTGAGATAACAAGCCATGAGGATATCTGAGAGAGAAATGTTCCAAACAGAGAGAACCGCAAATGTGGAAACATTAAGCCAGAAGGAACCTGGCTTGTCCGAGGAATTTTTAGAGGATACCACGGCAAGACCAGGATGATCAAAGGGTAGTTGTCAAAACTGAGAATACAGGGTCTATGGAAATAAAGAAGAGAAAGCTCTTGTAGGGCACTGAAGGCCTTTGTAAACAACTTTGATTTTTCCCCTAGTGAGATGAGGAGCCATTGGAAGGAATTTTGAGGCAAGCGTGAGACAATTATTTCGAGCAGAAGAAAACGGCAAAAGCTGAAGTCAGCTGAGGTTAAGAGAAGACTTTTTTTAGATGAGATGAGAGACATTATGGCATGCTTTTATATCAGTAAGCAGAATCCAGGAAAGAAGGGGAAAAAGGTGAATGAAATGTGTCTAAGAAAGTGGAAAACTGTCATAGTGGTTACTGGGACTAGCAGAGAGGGAAACAGACCTAGTGTATATTGGAGAAGCTATTCTTAGGACCCTGGAGAGTTCACTCACAGTACCAGGAGAGAAGGCAATGTGTATAAAGCACAGGTACAGGCAGGTTGATCAGGCAGTGAGCCCTGAGAGGGTATAAGGACATTTTCTTCTATTGGTTTCATTTTCATCTTGGAATAGAAGGCAAGGTCAGCTGAGAATGACAATAAAGGAAGAGGTAATGGGGGTTGGAGTAGAGGAAGAGAACAGGCCTCACACAGGGCTGCAGAAGGCAACATACGGTAGTGGGAACAAGCAAGGTTCATATTCCATCTCTGTCATGTATCAGCCATGTGACCCTGGGTAAATTTTTTGTTCTCCCTAAACTCTAGTTTCCTTATGCAAAATGGAAAGACTAATAGTTTCAGTATCACTAGTTGTAGACAGGATGAAAAGAGAGAATGTAAAAGCAATTTCAACATTACTTTATGGCAAGCACTTAGTATATGGTAACTGTTTGCTGATATGAATACATTAGCAACTCAATTACTTATTAATGGATAGGTTGTGATATTTTATTTCTACTCTCTTTGCAGGAGGTTTGTCCTCACCAAGCTTCGAGTCATCCAAAAAGGTGCATTTTCAGGATTTGGGGACCTGGAGAAAATGTATGTACCTAGCACTGCTGTGAGTGAATGCCTCAAGGGGGCTATAGGGAGCAACCTCAGACCACATCTAGTATGACTATCTGCACTTAGTAGCCGAACTGACATGGTCAGCCAAACTTTCTGCATCTCCTCACATTTTACTGTGTTACCATGGTTCCTAAATGATAGTGTGGAGTCTTTCACTGAGGCCATTGAAATGAGCAAAAGAGCAATCCAAGCAATTTTCATCATTTCTCAAATAAGGGGTTGCTCCCAGAGTACCGGTGAATGGAATTTTCATAAACCAAAGCCTCTTCTTTTCTGCAGACATCCACTCTCTTTCAGAGATACTTTCTACCATTTATGATTAATTTTTAATTGACAGCAGGACTTAACATCTATGCTGTAGAGATTCTCTAGACTTCTTGTTTCCAAAGTATTCATGCAGGCAAGTAGTAATTGATATATAAGCATTTCAAAGTACTAGGAAAGTTTACAGCACTGATTAAGATTTCCTTTGAAAAGAGAAGCCTCTTTTGTTACTGCAAACATTCAGTTCACATTGCGCTAGTCTAATTTAGAGTTTTCCCAAGACATGGTTTTCTCAAAGTGGGGTGCAATAGTAAAAGAGCAAATCCTCCTATACTTAAAGTAATCCTCCCTCCCTTTGAAAGCTCTTGGTATCACCTCCTGGGCATTCAGGGCCAGGGAAATATGTTCTTCTCTGCAGTGAGACAGCCAGGATTCAGGACTTTAATGCCAGTAAGTATAGCAATGAATAGACAGAGTATATACAGAAGGGAATGAAAGCAAGGCAAGAAAGAAAACCTTTAGTTCATGTGTTTCTTTCTTGAAGTCATTAACTTTATCTTTTTGGTTCTTTTATATCCCTTTAAGAATAGTACTTCCTGAAGTCTGAAGAAGCAAGAAAGGAATCCAATAACAAAAGAATCACAAAGTATAGAAGATGTCATTATGTTCCAGCAATTAAGCCACCTGCTTAAAAGAGGGTGGTCAGAATCCTGGTTTCAGTGCTAGTTTTAATATAAAATTACTGCATAACCTCGATTAAAGCATTTTATCTTTCAGGGCCCTGGTTTCCTCATCTGTGTATTAAGAGAGGAGTTTTAAAAAGGGGCTTACGTGATTTCCAATTTCTATCTCCATGTTGCAGGAGAGCCCGATTTAAGACCTGTAATCTTCCGGGTTTACCTCATTGAGGACATTCAACTATCACAGGGATTAGAAGATGGGGATACTAAAGCTGAACAGAGTTCACAAAGGAAACCAGGGAGACAGTAGAGTGGGAGAGCTTTATGCTCAAGATGTATTCGCGATTCCCTTGCCTGGAGCTAACATAGACTAAATGACTACTGGATATCCCTGTGTCCCTAAACATCACTATAATTACATAGAATTCTAAAGACAGGCATTTCAGATGTCACAAATAAGCTACTTTAATCAAGTTTAATCCAGCAAGTGTGAATGACCCCTCATTGGGTATTCAGTATCAGGCAAACCTTCCTGTGGCAATACGAATGGTTGAGCTGAGCTGACATATCAACAATCCAAGAACCACAGCAGCTGGCTCAGTAACTCAACTTGTTCAGACACAGCTTGTACATTTTTACCTCATGTCTTCATTAATCATCCTGAACTGGCACAGCGATACACCAAAATAAAATTGATCTTGTTTTTTTACCCTTTTTATACCATAAGGCTTCAAAGCATTTTCTAGCAGAGGGCCCAGCACTGAACTGAACCTGAGGAGACTTGCGTATTCCTCAGTCTCCGTGCTCACCTTTGTCCATTGTCTTACCTTACACTCTTGGTCACCAAGAAATTCTCATCTCCTTTCCAGACCTATCTCCTTCACTTGTGTTCTTCCAGTTGTTAATCAGTTTCCTGAACTTAATAAATATTGGCCTTTTCTTCAGTATCTCCCCCTCCACAAATCACAAAGTCCTTTTCATTCATTCTGCACATGTGACCAACTTTCACCTATCCATGTTGGAAAGAATAAAAGAAAAGTATTCTGTATAAATTCCACCTTCCTATTCTGCTCCCTTCTTCTCTCTTCCCCATCAAGACCACTGTGTTGAAAGAGTTGCCTACATTCACTGCCTCTCTATCCTTTCTTTTCAATCGCTTCTTAGCCTGCCCACTTGCTATTTGGACAAAAATTCTTCAACACTATTAAATTATTCTATCAAAGATCTCAAAAATACCACAGTTACAAGATCCAGTGAATTCTACTTTATCCTCTTCTACTTACCTTATATGTAGTCTTTAAATTTCATTAACCATTAATGTCATTCTTCTCAATGCCCTTTCCCCACTTAACTTCTGGGATACCACACTCTCCTGCCTCCCTATTAACCTCCCAGATTGCTCCATATCCAGTTCTCTTCATCTCTCTTGTTCTTCAACTGCCCTTCAAAAATTTAGGTATTCTAGGGTTCTATTTTTTGGCCATTTTCTTTTCTTCTAGCTCCACCCTTGAATGACCAGTTGTCAGATAATGTCTTATTACCAGGGTTCCTAAACTTTCATCTGCAACCTCCACCTCTCTCCTGAGGCCATAATTCTTGTTTTGAATTGGAAAGATGCCTAAACATCTACATCTGAGTGAACTGCAAATACCTGGAATTCAACATATTCAGAACTAGCTTATCTTTATTTTTAAATTTCTCGTATTCCCATATTGCCCAGTGAATCATGTCACCATCTGCCCAGGTTCCCAAACAAGGAAAATCCAGTCTCCCTTGACTCAGGTGCATTCTCTATCCCTTATGCCAAGGTGCTCCTCCAGTCCTACTGACTGCCTCTCAGATGTACTCTGATATCCAGTCCTCTTCTCATTCCTGTTACTATTAGACCCAAAGTCTCATCATCACTTACATAACCTACTGTATGAAGCTTCCATGCCTATCCCAGCTCCAATCTTCCTGCCACTCTGCTGCCAGACTTGCACTGTTTAAATTCTCTTGCAGAAGAACTTCTAGGGATCTTCCTCGCTGCAGACTTAAGTCATAAGCTCCTGGCACAGAAATCAAAACCCTTTATTTCCCACCATATGCACTGTGTACCTTACACTCTCACCAGGTGGAATAATTTTCTATTCCCCAAGCACTATTATTACCAGACATCATATTGCATATTTAGAATGTGACAGCTTGTTCTTTGGACAATGTCTGGCACATAAAGGGATCAAAAATAATTGCAGGGGAATGAATCAACAAATAAACAAATGAACAAAATATACTTTCACACTGTTCTTATGTAGATGCTGTCCCTCTGTCTAAAATTTCACTTCATAAAATCCTGCTTCCCATTCAGGGACCAGATGAAATGCTTACTTTTCTACAGAACTTTTCCAGAACTTTCCAAGTTCTTCCAAACCATAACCCTGTATTCATAATATTAACAGCACATTTATCAGACTGTACTCAGAATTTACAGTTTCTCAGATCCCTTGGTTATTCATTAAAGCCAAGATCACAATGTAGAAACGTCGTACTGAAGTACAACACCAAGTCCTGTTGTTTTTACCTCGTTACACGTCTAACCTATCCACCCATCTCTTTCTCCAGCTACCACAATCTTTCCCTGGTATCTTAGTCCGTTTGTGCTGCTATAACAAAATACTGCAGACTAGATAATTTACAAGGAACAGAAATTTATTTTCTTACAGTTATGGAGACTTGAAACTCCAAAATCAAGTCTCCAGCATCTGGTGAGGGCTTTCTAGCTGAGTCCTCACATGGTGGAAGGTGGAAGGGCAAAAGGGGACAAACATGTCCCTACGTGGCAGAAGAGGAGAAGAGAGAGAACCCACTCCCAAAAGCCCTTTTTAATGGCAACACTAATCTCTTCATGGGGATGGGCCCTTGTGGTGTGGGCCCTAAACCACTCTCAAAAGGCCACATTTCCCAATGTTGGAGTGGAGATTGAGTTTTAACAGGAAATTTGGGGAGGAAAAAATATTTAAACCAGAGCACTTGTGTAACTGCAACAGCCTTCAACTTGTGCTGTCCCCATTTACCAGCATGCTCTTCCCTCTCCCTCATCCATTTTCAACATAGAGTAATATTTTCTAAATTCATAACTGATTATGTCATCTTCCATATTTGCCCCACCATGCATGTGCAAACACACACACACACACACACACACAAACTCTTCATGCCTTACCACTTTTTTTGTTCTTGTTCCACAGTTTTTTCTTTTTTATTATTTTTTAATTGACACATAATTGTGCATATTTATAATAATTGTAACACATAATAACTGTAAAATAATTGAGTATAGTGTACTATTTTGATACATATATACATTGGGTAATGATCAAATCAGGGTAATTAACATATCTCACACCTCATATATTTATCATTTCTTTGTTTTGGAAACATTCAAAATCTGCTCTTCTACATATTTGAAAATACACAGCAAATTGTTGTTAATTATAGTTGCCCTACAGTGCTATAGAACAGTAGAACTTATTCCTCCTATTTTGCTGTACTTTTATATCTATTAACCAATCTTTTGGTATCCTCTCTCCCACATAGACTTCCCTGCCTCCAATAACCACTATTCTACTCTCTGCTTCTTTGAAGTCAGACTTTTTTAGCTTCCACATATGAGTGAGAACATGCAGTATTTCCCTTTCTGTGCCTAACTTATTTCACTTAACATAATATCCTCCAAGATTATCTATGTTGCTGTGAATGATAGAATTTTGCTCCCTTTCATCACTAAATAGTATTCCATTGTGAGTGTGTGTCACATACATATATATATATATATAGCATTTTCTTTATTCATTTCTTTATTTGTGAACGTGTAAGTTGGTTCTATACCTTGGCTATTTATAGTGCTACAATAAACATCAGAGTGCAAATAGGTCTTTGACATATTTACAGCACTGATGAAGATTTCCTTTGAAAAGAGAAGAATCCTTTGTTACTGCAAACACTCAGTTCATATTAAGCTGGTTTAATTTAGGGTTTTTCCAAAATATGATTTTCTCAAGCCAGGGTACAGTGGCAGAAGACAGAGCAAATCCTCCCACACTTAAATTAATCCTCCCTCCCTTTGAAAGCTCTTGGTACCACCTCCTGGGCATTTAGGGCCTCTCCTTGCATTTGAATACATACCCATTAGTAAAATTGCTGGATCATATGGAAGCTCTACATTTAGTTTTTAGAGGAATCTCATACTCATACTATTTTAAATAATGGCTGTACTAACTTCTATTCCCACCAACAGTGTAGAGGAGTTCCCCTATCTCTACATCCTTGCCAGTATTTGTTTATGTTTTTGGTTTTGGGTGGGTTTCTGTTGTTTTTTTTATAATATCCATTTTCACTGGGGTAAGATGAGACCTTATCATGGTTTGATTTGCATTTTTCTGATAATTAGTGATGTTGAACAGTTTTTTCATATGCCTATTGACCATTTGTATGTCTTCTTTTGAGAGATGTCTATTTGACCCATATGATCATTTTTAAATTTGATTATTAATTTTGCTGTTGAGTTGTTTGAATTCCTTGTATATTCTGGATACTAATCCTTTGATGAGTAGTTTCCAAATATTTTCTCCCATTCTGAAGGTTGGCTCTTCACTCGGTTGTTTCCTTTGCTCTACAGATGCTTTTTAATTTAACATAATGCCATTTGTCTGTTTTTCCTTTTATTTCCTGTGCTTTTGAGGTCTTCTCCATAAAAATCTTCACACAGATCAATTTTCTGAAGAATTTCCCAATGTTTTCTTCCAGAAGTTTTATATAGTTTCAGATCTTACATTTTAGTCTTTAATCCATTTTGAGTTGACTTTTGTATATGGTGAAATATAGATATCCAGTTTCCTTTTCTGCATGTGAATATCCAGTTGTCCCAGCACAACTCATTGAAGAGATTTTCCTTTCCCCAATGAACGTTCTCAATGTCTTTGTTGAAAATCACTTCACTATAAATATGTAGGTTTATTTCTTTTCTGTGCCACCTGCATATGGTTTGGTTTTTATGACCATAGCACGTTGTTTGGATTACTATAGCTTTGTAGTATATTTTTAAGTCCTGTACTGTGATGCCTTCAGCTTTATTCTTTTTGCTCAGGGTTGCTGAAGATGTATATTCTGCAGCTGTTGGATGAAACGTTCTGTAAATGTCTGCTAAGTCCATTTGGTCTGAATTGCAATTTAAATTTAATGTTCATAATGTTGATTTTCTGTCCAGATGATCTCTCCAGTGCTGACAGTGGGGCATTGAAGTCCCCAACTATTACTGTATTAGAGGCTATCTCTTCCTTTAGGATTAATAACATTTGCTTTATGCATCTGAGTGCTCCAGGTTTGGAGATAAATATATATATATAAATATATTATATTTATATTTATATTTATATAAACATATATAGTTATATATGACTATATATAACTATATAGTTATATATGAATATATAGAGTTATATATAGTTATATATAAATAGTTATATATAAATAGCTATATATTTTTATATATAGTTATATATAATATATATAAATATAAATATATAGTTATATATAGTTATAAATATATAGTTATATATAGTTATATATATTATAGATATATGTATTTTTATATATCTAAATATATATACATTTAGATATATAGATATATATCTAAATATGTATATTTATATGTATATATGTATTTATTTTTATATATCTAAATATATATATATTTAGAATCATATCCTCTTCCTGAATTGATCCCTTTATCATTATATAATGTCCCTTTTTGTCTCTTTTTACAGTTTTTGACCCATAGTTTCCTTTATCTGATGTAATCATGATAGCTACTCCTGGTCAGTTTTGATTTCCTTTTGCTCAGAATCACTTTTATCCATCCCTTCACTTTCAGTTTATATTTGTCTTTACAGGTGAGAGGTGTGCTTCATATCAGCAGCATATACTTAGATGCTCACAGCAGCTATGGGGGCAGGGTCCCAGGCTTATGGTCTTGCATACCTGTTATGGCACCTGGGTCTTGAGGTGCAAGTTTGCTCTCCTTGGCAGGATTAGATGTAGGTTTCCCATGAAGCCAAGATTTGTGACTCTGAGGCACCCCCTAGCAGCTTGGGTTCAAGGTGCCACGTTGTAGTGGTGATTATGCCCCTGAGGAGCAAGGTACAGTACTACCTTGATCCCTCAGAAGAAGGGGTAATCTGGAGGTATGGGCAGGGGGAGAAAGGTATGGATGCAATTTGAGAACCTGAGCCAAATATACCCAGTGGCATCTCCCAGGAGATGAGGCACTTTGCAGTAGTGACCATAGACCCTGGAATGGTGGGGCTTAGCAGCATTCTAGACTCTTTACAGCCATGTGTAGCAACAGCAAGTATCCCAGAATGGCAAAGCACAGCTCTAGTTTGGGCCGGGGGGGAGTGGGTACATGGATGACTGCACTCCCCAGGGAGAGAGGTATCTCAGAAGCCCAGAATAGGGAACTAGTCCGGCTCCAGGGAAGCAAGGTACTAGAGGTATTTGGCATATAGGGTGGAGTATTTCAGTTCAGCCACTTCTCTCTTGCCTGGGCGGCAGGATACTATAACAGCTCAGCCTTGGAATATGCAGCTGTTCAGCTTGGCCAGGGCATTGACTTCCCAGGGGCAATGTGCCACTTCAGCTCAGGCCTGTGGGATGTGACTGTTCTAGGCAGCCCAAGCCCCATTTCCCTGGAATGCAGAGTGTCACATCAGCTTAGGTACTGGGGTGTGTGACCACCCTGGCTGGTCAAGGCATCATTTCCTGGGATGCAGGGCACAGTTTCAACTTAGGCACTGGAGAGGCATGACTTCTCTGAGTGGTCAAGGTAATGTTTTCCCAGGATACTGAGTTTTTGTTTTTGTTTTTTTTTCCTTTTGCTAATACCTAATGGGATCATATGGTAGTTGTATTTGCAGTGTTTTGAATAACCTTTTTATACTGTTTTCCATAGTGGCTTTACTGTTTATAGTCCCACGAACAATATGTAAGGGTACCTTTTTCTCTGCATCCTCACCGGTATTTTTTTCGTTTAATAACCATCCCAAATGGTGTGAGATGATACCTCATTATGGTTTGATTTGCATTTCTCTGATGATTAGTGATGTGGAGCATTTTTCCATATATGTGTTGGCCATTTATATGTCTTCTTTTCAGAAATATCTGTTCAGATCACTTGCTTATATTTTAATCAAATTTTTTTGGTATTTTTTTGTTTGAGTTTCTTATATATTCTGGATATTAATGCCCTGTCAAATGAGTACTTGGCAAACATATTCTCCCATTCTGTGGTTGTCTTTTCACTATATTGATTGTTTCATTGGCTCTGCAGCTTTTTGGTTTGATATAATCCCCTTTATTTTTGATTTTGTTTCCTGTGCTTTTGATGTCTTATTCATGAAATCTTTTCCGAAACCAAAGTCCTCAAGCACTTCCTCCATGTTTTCTTCTTGCAGTTTTATCATTTTTGGACGTATATTTAGGAATTTGATCCATGTTGAGTTGATTTTTGTATAGAATGAGAGGTGAAAGGGGGCATCTGTTAGGTTGATATAAAAGTAATTGCAGTTTTTGCCATTACTTTCTAATAGCAAAAATCACAGTTACCTTTGCACCAGCCTAATAGTATCAGTCTTCTACATGTGGATATCCAGTTTTCCCAGCATCATTTATGAAACCGTCCTTTCTCCAGTGAATGTTCTTGGCACCTTTGTCAAAAATCAGTTGGCTATAGATACGTGCATTAATTTACGGATTCTCTATTCTGTTCCATTGGTCTATTTGTCTGTTTTTTTTTTCCCCCAGTACCATGCTGTTTTGGTTACTATAACTTTGTATTATATTTTGAAGTCTGGTAGTTTGATGCTGCCAACTTTGTTCTTTTTTGATTAGGCTTACTTTGGCCATGCAGGATGTTTTGTGGTTCCGTACAAATTTAAATTTTTTTTTCTACTTCTGTGAATGACGGCATTGTTGTTGGCTGTTTTATTTTATTATTATTTTTTTAATTTTTAGAGACAAGGTCTTAGTCAGGCAGGAGTGTGATCATGGCTCAGTTATGGCTCACTGCAGCCTCAAACTCCTGGGCTCAAGTAATCTTCCTACCTTAGCCTCCCAAGTAGCTAGTACTACAGGCATGTGCCACCATACTCAGCTATTTTTTTATTTTCTTGCATAGATGGGGATTATGTTGCCCAGGCTGCTCTTGAACTCCTGGACTCAAGGGATCATTCTGCCCCAATCACCCAAAGTGCTGGAGTTACAAGTGTGGGCCACTGTGCCTAGAACTGCATTGGTATTTTGATAGTAATTGCATTGAATCTTTAGATTGCTTTAGTTAGTAAGGTCATTTTAACAATACTGATTATTCACATCCATGAGCTTGGGATGTTTTTCCATTGGTTTGTATCCTTTTCAATTTACCTCATTAGTGTTTTGTGGTTTTCCCTGTAGAGGCCTTTTTCCACTTGAGTTAAATTTATTCATAGGGTTTTGTTTTGTTTTGTAGTTTTTGTAAATGGAATGGGCTTCTTTATTTTTTTTTCAGGTAGTTTATTGCTAGTGGATAGAAATGCTACTGATTTTTGTTGGTTGATTTTGTATCTTTCAACTTTACTGAATTTGTTTAACAGTTCTTAAAGGTTTTTTTTAGGTGGGGAGGAGGGTGTTGAAACAGAGTCTTGCTCTGTCACCAAGCTGGAGTGCAGTGGCTCGATCTCTGCTCACTGCAACCTCTGCCTCCCGGTTCCAGCGATTCCCCTGCCTCAGCCTCCCAAGTAGCTGGGACTACAGGCATGCACCACCATGCCTGGCTAATTTTTTGTATTTTAGTAGAGACAGGGTTTCACCATGTTGGCCAGGATGTTCTCAATCTCCTGACCTCGTGATCCACCTGCCTCAGCCTCCCAATGTGCTGGGATTACAGGCATGAGCCACTGCACCTGGCCAGTTTTTCCATGTATAATATGTCATTTAAAAACAGGGACAATTTGACTTCCTCTTTTCAAATTTGGATGCCCTTCATTTCTTCCTCTTGCCCAATTGCTCTTGTTTGAACTTTCAATACTATGTTACATAAGAGTGGTGATGGTGGGAATTATTGTAACATTCCAGTTGTTAGAGAAAAAGCTTTCAGCTTTTCCTCAATCCACATGATATTAGCTGAAGGTATGTCATATATGGCCTTTATTGAGTTGCGGTACTTTCCTTCTATACCTAATTTATTGAGAGTTTTTATCATGAAAGCATGTTGAATTTTACCAAATGCTTTTTCTATATTGACATGGTCATATGAATTTTGTCCTTCATTCTGTTGCTTTAATGTATCATGTTTACTAATTTGCATATGTTAAAACATTCTTGCATTTCTCAGATAAATCCCACTTAATTCTCATATATTATTTCTTTGATGTCTTATTGGTTTTGGATTGCTAGTATTTTATTATGGATTCTGCAACTATCTTCATCAGGGATATTGGCCTACGTTTTCTTTTTTTTGCTATGTCCTTGTCTGGTATCTGAGCAATGCTGGCCTATGAGAATGAGTTAGAAAGAGTTCCTTCTGCTTCAATTTTCAGAATCATTTGAGAAGAATTGGTATTAATTATTTTTCAAAGGTTCTGTAGAATTCAGCAGTGAAGCCATCTGGTCCTGGGCTTTTCTTTGTTGGGAGATTTTCAATTACCTGTTCAAACTTGTCACTTATTATTGGTCTATTCAGATTTTCTATTTATTCTTGGTTCAATCTTGGTGGGTTGTATTTGTCTAGGACTTTATCCAGGTTTTCAAATTTATTGGTGTATACTTGTTCATAGCAATCTTTAATGATCCTTTGTATTTTTTTAGTAAACATTGTAATGTTACTACTACTGCTACTGTCATTGTGTATGTTTTTCATTTCTGATTTTATTTATTTGGTTATTCTCCCATTTTTTCTTAGTCTAGCTAATGGTTTGTTCATTTGGCTTATCATTTCAGAAAAGCAACTTTTTATTTCATTGATCTCTTGTGTTATTATTTTAGTGTTAATTTCATTTATTTCTGCTCTGATATTTATTATTTTTGTCTTCTACTAATTTTTGGTTTGGTTTGTTCTTCCTTTTTTAGTTCCTTGAGTTGCAGTGTTAATTGGTTTATTTGAGGCTGGGAAATCTTTCTTGTTTTTTCATATAGGGGTTTACTGATATAAACTTGCCTCTTAATTCTGCTTTTGCTCATCCCATAGGTTTTGGTATTTTGTGTTTTCATTTTCATTTAAGAAAGATTTAAATTTTATTCTTAATTTCCTCTTTACCCATTGATTATTCAGAAATGTGCTGTTTAATTTCCATGTAGTGTATGCTTTCAAATGTTTCTCTTGTTATTGATTTCTAGGTTTATTCCATTATGGTATTATAGGGTACTTGACATAATTTTGATATTTTTAAAATTTTTTTGAGACTTGTTTATTGTCCTAACAGAAACAATATGGCCAATTCTGAAAAGTATTTCATTTGCTGATGATGAGAATTTGTATCCTGCAGCTGGTGGATGAAATGTTCTGTAAGTGTCTGTTTGGTCTGTGGTGCAGTTTAAATCCAATGTTTCTTTGTTGATTTTCACTCTAAACAATCTGTCTAATGCTGAGAGTAGGGTGTTGAAGTCTCCAACTACTAATGTATTGCGGTCTATCTCTCCCTTTAGGTCTAATAATATTTGCTTTTTATATCTGTGTGCTCTGGTGTTGGATATATATATATATATATATATATATATATATATATATATATTCCAATTGTAATGATTTCTTGCTGAATTGATCCCTTTATTATTTTATAATGTTAATTTGTGTCTCTTTTTACATCTTTTAACTTAAGTCTGTTTTTCTGATGTAAGTATAGCTATTCCTGCTCACTTTAGGGTTTTGTTTATAAGGATTATCTTTTTTCAATCCTTTCAATTTCAGTCTATGTGTCTTTACAGGTAAAGTAAGTTTCTTGTAGGCAGCATATATTTGGGTCTTTTAAAAAAATCTATTTCACCAGTCTATATGTTTTAAATGGGAAATTTAATCTATTTACATTCAAGATTATTATTAATAGGTGAGGACTTACTCTTGCAATTAATTGTTATCTGCTTGTTTTGTATATCCTTTGTTTCTTACTTCCTCTCTTATTTTTAATTATTGCAATTAGGTGGTTTTCTGTAGTGATAGGCTTGATTCCTTTCTCTTTGTCCTTTGTGTATCAAGTCTAACAGTGAGTTTTAGAGTTTTGCATGTTGTCATGATGTTGGTTTCAGTCTTTTTACTTCCAGATGTAATACTCCTTTAAGCATTTCTTGTTTGGCAGGTCTAGTTGTGATCAATTCCCTTATTTTTTTCTTGTCCATGAAATGTTATATTTCTCCTTCATTTCTGAAATGTAGCTTTGCTGGGTATAGTATTCTTGTCTCGCAGCTTTTTCTTTTAGTACTTTGAATATATCATCCTATTCTCCCCTGGCCTGTAATGTTTGTGCTAAGAAATCTACTCTTCATCCAATGTGGATTTTTTAATATGTGACTTGAGGCTTTTCTCTTCCTGTTTTTAGAAGTTTGCCTTTTTCTTTGACTTTTGACTATTTGACTGTAATGTGCCTTGGAAAGAACTTTTGGGATTGACCCTATTTGGGTTTTTTTTTTTTTTTTTTTTTTTTTTTTTTTTGAGCTTCCTGGATCTGGATGTTCATCTCTCTCCCAATACTTGGGAAATTTTCAGCTATTATTTTATTAAATATGCTTTCTATGCCTTTTCCTTTCTCTTCTCCTTCTGAAATTCCTATAATATGAATATTTATTTGGTTAACTATGCCTCATAAATTTTGTAGACTTTCTTCATTATTTTTTATTATTTATTTATTGTGCCTGTGTTCTTTCAAAAGACCTGTCTTCAAGTTCAGGTATTTTTTCTTCTGCTTGGTCAATCTGTTGTTGAAGCTCTCAGCTGGTTCCTTTTATATTTTATTAATTGATTTTTTAAGCTGTAAGATTTCTGTTTGGCTCTTTTTTTGTGATATCTCTTTGCCACTTTTCTCACTCAAGTTATGAGTTGTTTTCCTGATTTGATTAAATTGTCTATCTGTATTCTCTTGTATCTCACTGAGTTTCCTTAATTATTATTTTCAATTCTTTTTCTGGCATTTTATATATTTCTTTATAATTAGGGTCTGTGACTGGAGAGTCACTGTGTTCCTTTAAGGTGTCATGTTTCCTTGCTTTTTCATCTTTGATGTATCCCTACATTGATTTTTATGCATCTGGTCAAACAGTCACCTGTTCCAATTTTATGAAGTAGGTTTTATAAGAAAAGACATTCATTTGGATGAGTCTTGGGGTGTTGTTTTGGTGAGGTGCTTTGACTTTTGTTCTAGGTGGATACAATAGTGTAGTATCTGTGTCATTTCTTTTTCTGTAATCCATGCTAGTAATGTTTGCGAGTGTCTCAGCAGCCTAAGCTGAGAGAGTCTGCAGTTGTTGTGCTGTGGCTTTACTAGGGGTGGGCTTGCTAGACTGTCTGTCAGGTCACAGGTACATGTGTGCACACAGTGCGTTGGCCAACTCAGGGTCTGGCTCACTGGGGTTGGGGCCATGTGGCTATTACTTTGATCAGAGGCATGGGTGCATGGTTGCTCCACTGGCTTGAAAGCATGTCTACCTGGGGCTATCTCTCAGGCCCAGATGTAGGCACATAGCTACTTGGCTGGCCTGGGGGTATGTCTGCTTGGGGTGGCCCACAGGGATGTTTTGCAGGCCTTGGACATGGTTGGATGGCCTACTGGCTGATGTGGGTTCGTGTGTCTTCTTTGGGTGGATTCTGGGGCTGTTTCTTAGATTCAGGATGTGGGTGCAAGGTTGCTTAGCCAGCTTGGAGGCATGTCTGCCAGCAGCAACCTGTGGGCTATTTCTTAGGCCAAGACATGGGCACACAGCTAGTAGGTTGGCCTGGGGGCATACCTCCTGGGGTCCACCCACAGAGCTACATTCAACCCTTTTTCATCCCCCCAGTTGCACAGGAGATAGGTAACATCATTAGTGCTATGTTATAGATAAGAAAACAGGCTTAAACAGATCAAATTCTCTGTCCAAGGTAACACAATGGGTAAGCAATAGAAAAAAGATATTGCAGAATGTACCTCACTTACATGGAACTAGACTAATCTGGGGAGATGCTGAGTTCACACATCTTTATTTTCTTCTCTCTTTAGATCTGTCTCTATGTTGTACAAGTGTTTCAACTTCTCTAATACTAATCTCCCTAATCTGGAAAATGTTAATACTAAGGTCTATGTCATAGAGTTGTCAAGGCCCTTAATACTCAATCTCAGTATCTGAAACAACATGGGCATTTGATGAGTTTATTTCTTACTCCCATCCTCTTGTTAAAATGATTGGGAAAAATTCCCCAACCCTTGCTGATGATTCTTCCTCATTTATTATCCCAGTTTAACCCAGCCTCCTCTACTTCTATCAGAAGTCAACAGGGAAAGGACTGTTTTTTTTCTTTTTTTTAAGAACCAGGAATAGAAGTTTGTGCATTAGAAATGAAATGGCCACTGTTCATGCCTTAGCTTTTATCTGCATCACTATCTCAAACCTCCCTATTCTTCATTGCTTTGAGACTTTGTGGGGGGAAAAAAGAAATCATTAAACTCTCTGCAACATGAAGTGGCTTTGCAAAGTGCACTGTAAACTGTTTACATTGTCTTTAATTACTTCGGAGCCATATGTCAGCTTGGTATAAAGTGTGAAGATTACATTGAATAGGGTGGGGGGAGTAGGTGACAATGTGGTGATTTATGGTAACCAGAAAAATTATGTATGGAAATGAGTTCAATTTAAAAACACATCTATGTGTTATTATAACACTGGAGGTGGGGGGAAAGCTAGTTTATAACAAAATATCTTTGGAAATAGGAGCATGATGAATATGCAAATGAGACCAATCAACATCAGCTGAAATATGGTATATGCAGATGAGGCGGCAATAAGCCAAAATGTGAAATAGCTCCCAAACCATAAATATGAACCACATAAAATTCATTTGAAATATTCATGATAACATAAGGACAAAAAATATAATCAAGTGATTTATTTGCATATAGAAATGAGAACACTAGTCTGACACTCCAGCCTCCACCCCCAGATCACTGGGGAAAGAAAAGTTAACTTAACAGAGGGACTTTTAGAGAAAGAGATTTATTGAATGAGAATTGTTGCAAACACATTAAAAAAGTTGAGGATCCTCCCAATTCTCAGTTCTTCAGGCTCACTCAGCACAGATAAAAGGAAAGGAAGTAAATCAGGTAACCAGAACTGTAACTGCAACAGTGCTAGAAAATTTGGGTTCCACTCAGCTTTGCCCTTCAGAGCACCCCCTTGTTACATGACTTAAGTTCCTTCCTAACCCAACCTTCTGTGATTCTGAGAGTTAATGGTCAAAGCAGCCTTGAGTCCCGCTTACTCAAAGCGAAAAGGAGAGGCTGATGATTCTACTGGCTCCTGGTGAAAAATGAAAGGCCAGTGTTAGACTGGTTAGATCTCTGAATGGGAAGAGGGGATTTGAGTCCCTGGGAATAACAAGGAAATGACGTTGAGTGGTTCTCTTCTTAGACTGCACTTTAGAATCCCCTGGAGAACTTTAAAAATAATGTACACACCCAAGTATCACTTCCAGATATTTTTATTCCATTTTTCCAGGACGAGGTCTAAGCATTAATCATTTTTTAAAGCTCCCTTGATGATTCTAATGTACATCTAAAATTGAAAGCCACTGAGGTAGATGATAGTTTAGTCAGAATCCAATTTGTACAAAGAACATTCATGAGTATGTAAAGTGTATCATCTACATGTTGTAGCTAAAGAAGAATAAAACAAAGAGGAGGTTGGCAGGACATAAGATCAAAGAGGAAGCTGGGAGTGAGGTCATATTAGTACCTGATAGACCATGGGGATGTATTTGGGTGTCATATTTAGTGTGATTGGGATTAAATGGGGTGTTTTGAGCAACAAAGTGACATAATCTGATTTGCATTTGTTAAAAATTGTCCATACACACAAATTTTGATTTGCTAATATTTTGTTTAAAATGTTTTATCTATATTTGTAGCAATATTAGTCTGTATATTTATTTTCTTGTCGTTTCTTTGTTTGATTTTGTTCTACCTGTATTATAAAATGAGTTGGGAAATGTTCTCTCATCATCTATATCCCAAAAGTGTTTGTTTTCTAGAATTCAATACGGAAAGAATAGTTTTTTTCCACAAATGATGCTGAATCAACTTTGTATCCATATTGGAAAAACAATAAATCCCAACCCTTACCTCATGTTATACACAAAATTTAACTTTAAGTGGATAATTGACTTAAACGCAAAAACTAAAATTTTAAAACTGTTAGGAGAAAAATATTTTACAATCAGGGGATAGGCAAAGATTCCTTAAGTAGAACACATTAAGCATAAAATAAAAGTGTTATTTTGGACTTCATTAAAAGAAAAAACTTCTGCTTTTCAAAAGACAATAAAAAAAGTAAAAAAAGACACCATCAAGAAAATGACAACCAAATCACATAATGAGAGAAAATATCTGCAATACATATATCTGAAAAAGGACTTGTATCAAGAACATATCTTTCTATATATAAAGAAGTAAAAAATAAGTAGACACACAATCTAATTTAAAATGGGCAAAATATCTGAACAGATACTTCACAAAAAAAGATACACGAATCGGCAATAAGCATACGAAAAGATGCTCATCATTAGTCATTAGCAAAATGCAATTTAAAACCATAATGAAATACTATTACATACCCATTAAAATGGCCAAAATTAAAAGCTGATAATAGTAGGTTACTGGTGAGGCTGTGAAGCAACTGGAACTCTCCTACATGTTTGGTGAGAATTTAAAATTGTACAACCTCTTTGGTAAACAGTTTGTCAGTTTCTTATATTGACCCAAGAGAAATAAATACATATATTTCTACACAGAGACTGCAAGAATGTTCATAACAGATTTATTCATAATAGCCCCAAACAGAAAATCACTCAAATGTCCATCAGCAGGCCAATGGGTAAACAAATGGTATGATATCCACACAATTTAATACTAAGCAGTAATAAAAAAGAATACACTGCTAATATGTAAAACAACATGGATAAATCTCTCAAAAGCATTATAGTAAGCAAAGAAGCCAGACACAGAAGGTATACCATATGATTCTATTTATATGAACCTCAAAAAAGAAGAAAATCTAATCTATGGTAACAGAAAGATTAGTTGCCTGGTTCCCAGGGTGGTGTTAGGGATTGTCTGGGAAGGCAGACAAGGAAACTTTTTTAACGTGGTGAAGATATTTTATATCTTGATTGTGGTAGTAGTAACAGGTGGAAGAGTTAAAATGAATGCATTTTATTATTTGTCAAATTATACTTCAACAAAGTTGATTTTTAAAATCAGCAATTATTCCACACCTATTCTGGGACAGGTGTTTTAAATACTACATCTCAGTTAACTCACACTGTATAGACAGGGATACTGACATTCACAAAAGGTAAGAAACCAAGCAACATCAGAGTATCCTTATGTGGTGAAGCTAGGATTTAAACCCAAGGTAGTCTGGTCCTTTCTGCTACACAAGGCTTCTTTTAGTTGGAATCTACCATTTTCCCACATGTTCCTGCTAAGGTAAAAGAGGGATTGACAGGAAAATTAAAGCTATTAGCTTCCTTTGGTGACATTTATTATCAGAGGAGAGGATGTCTGTGCCTAAGCCCTTGGAACTGCCACAAACCAGAACCTAGAGTGATTCTCTACTCCTATAGTCACAGAGTGAAGGAAACCTCTTCTTGGAGCTATTTTCCTTTCAAGTTTCAGCTTGCAAACTCATTTCTGGGTAAAGCTCCTGCTAAGAGTAGCTTTAGTACAAGGGTTTGCAAACTGAGCTTGCTGTTAAGTTGCAAATTAACTTAGCCATCAGTTGGGAAATATAAGATTTGGGCCAATTAAGCAGTTATTATTGACCCAGGTCAAACGTGAGTTAGTGTCTAGAAGGTGAAAATCCTTATGTCATTTCCTATTCTCCATAAATATTCTGAAAATAACTATTTTTGTTATATTTATTGCTTCAACCAAGAACACAAGAAGCTATTTTCTTGTCACTTTTTGGGTTGATGTGGTTTTAGTGTTTCCATTAAGTCTCCCTATTTTTAACTTGCTAGGTGTGTCCTTAAAATAAACTCTACAGTATCTAAGAACTGCCCAGATCAGAAGGGGAATAATTTATTAGCTTTGTATTTATATGTTTGGAATTTTTGCTTCTTTCTTTTATTTGGGTTTGGTTTTTATTATATATATATATATATATATATATATTAGAGTAGGGGCTATATGAGTCTGATAAAGAAAGCAGAGTTCTTGAGATCTGTAATTTTATAGATGTTCCCAACCTTATACTCATAATAACTCTTCACACCTCAGTCACTTACGCTTTATCCATGAGGTTAGAGTGGGATTTCCTTGGCTGAAAGGGATTACAACGAAGAAAATACAGTAAGAATACAGGCAGGAGGCCCACTGTGAGCTAATAAGCTTATAGTAATAAAGATGTATGTCATAGATGCTCCCTTGCTTGGTAGAGCACAGATATGCCCTCATTTACATCTCTCATCTCTAATATCCCCCACCCTCTTGGCCATTTGATACTCCAAGCATTCATGGTCCTGATGACTTCTGCTTGGTACCTCTCATTGAGCAACTAAGACTTCCAGGTGCTAAGATATGACAGAGGTTACTCAAGGCATTTCTGACTTGCTATCAAACGCAATCTTCTTCCATTTTCTAATCAACAGCCAAGTGAGGTCATCTTATCTATCTTTTACAACTTCTGCTTCAGCAACACTTTCCCTTTGGACTCTCCTTGACAAAGCAAGCTGTGTGTGAGACCTTCCAGTGAATTATATTTGTCAGTGCTCAGAGATATACCAGAAAATGAATTGGCCTTTTTTTTTTCCTCCTTGCTGGTAACTCAATGTTTTTGTCTATCCAGTGAAGATACAATTAAGGCAGCATAATACTCGAGTTAAAAATATCCTTGTGGCTCTGCTCTGGGGATTTTTCTAGCTTTTTTTTTTAATAGATGGTGTTAAAATAAAAAGAAGCAATCTAAAGGTAAGCTGCAATCAATGCATGAACTATTTATTTTTATTTCCTCATTTAGCCCATGCCCATCACAACCACATCCATCTGGGCTGTGTATGACTTAATAAGATGCTTTAAACAGTAAAAGATTCAAATAGAATATGGACCCTCTTGCCTGTCCACCTTCCAACAAATAAATTACCTGAATCTTACACTTCATAAACCTCCCCTGCAGTGCTCAGATTCACCCTGGCCAGCCTACACAGCAATCAAATGACCAAAGATGTGTTTTTATATATAACCATTCCAGAAGTTAAGCAGGCAGAGAGGAAAAGTCCAGGAGCTAGGGGTAAATGCTAGAGAAGCCTAAATGAATGAAGCAGAAGTTAGCCATCCCAGTGGGTCTGAGGTTCTGAGAGAGTCTGGGCAGAGAGATAGCAATTGTTTATGCCAAATGTTTTATAAACACGTAATATGCACTTGGACGTGAGCATGCTTTGAAAAGTTAAAAGTGAGTGCAAATGCAAGGTATGAATAATAAGGACAGCATGTTTGCTCTGTTTCCCATTTATAGTGTCTCAGCTTGACTGACTACACGCTGACTACTAATCCTGCCCTTTCCCTCTTCCCATATTCCTCGAAAGCACCTAGCACAGAGTTAGGCACACTGGAATGATAATGGCAGGTGATGTTTATTAATTTGCAGTCTCTACCTCTTGATTCCTTTCCCAACTTTTCAGAGCCCCAGGTTTTTTTTCTATAAGAAAACCACTTTTTATTTATTTTACTTTTTTTTTATCATCCTCAACTTTTTCTTTCCAGTCTTCTTGAGGTATGATTGACATATAAAAATTGTATCAATTTAAGCTATACAGGCTGGCCACGATGGCTCACATCTGTAATCCCAGCATTTTGGGAGGCTGTGACTGGCAGATCACTTGAGGTCAGGAGTTTGAGACCAGCCTGGCCAACATGATGAAAGCCCATCTCTACTAAAAATTCAGAAAAAATAAAATAGCTGGGTATGGTGGTGGGCACCTGTAAACCCAATTACTTGGGAGGCTGAGGCAGGAGACTCACTTGAACCTGGGAGGCGGAGTTTGCCGTGAGCTGAGATTGTGCCATTGCACTCCAGCCTGGACAACAAAGCAAGATTCCATCTCAAAAAATAATAATAAATAAGCTGTACAACCTGAAGTTTTGATATGTGTACATATTTGTGAAATGATAGTACAATCAAGCTAATAAAATGCCCATCACCTCATGTTTCTTAAGTCAAGCTCTCAGGTTTTTAAATCTTGTTCATAATTCTTCTTTCCCAGTAAGGATAACAGCATCTGAAGAACTTATTGACACCAAAAGTCTAAGGAATTTGTAAACTGGCTCCTCCAACCCAATATGCCTTTTGTAAAAATCATAAAGTGGGTAATGCCCAATCTAAAGGATTGAATTGCTAATGGTGGGATTTTAGTCAGGGTGGAACATATGCTTAAGGACCATCTGCTTTAATACATGAAAAACCATATCCTGGCTGACTTGCTTGTTTGGACCACAAAGTCTGTGTGTACATACACTTAAATTTGAGAGCAGGGTGATCGTGCTGTAAGCACACTGACATTAGTGCTTTAGAGATCCCGTCTTTTGATGGGCTCCTCACTCTCTGACCAGGTGGAAAACTCAGATTATTTTTTTTCTTTACTGAATGTTGAAAATTGAGGTGTCAGTCATCACATATTTGTTTAAAATGTACTCCTTTTATATCTTCCCTTAAATTTCCTTTTCTGCTTCTCTCCACATGTACATATAACCTCTCAGTCCAACCAAGTTAAGACAGTTGAGATGTAACTTTTCATTTAGTAAAGCAGACATTTGACTTGGGAGATAAAGGGTGGTGGTTTACTGCAGCACCAAGTCCCAAAACAACAACAAAAAATCCTACATATAGAGTAAGTTCCATTCTAATTTTAAGGATGTGAGGCCAAATCTGAGATCACTGGTTAAGGCTTTTTAAAAGGAGGAGATTTATCGACTTCAGTCAAATACTTGAGACAAGTGCAGGCTGATGAATGACACCAGCTAATTCATCAAGAAATTTATCAAGGTTCACAGAGTAAAAGACTGTGACTTCCATCAGTCCCTGTATGTCTGTGGGATGAAGCTTGTGGAGCTAATGAGCTTCCTTGGGCTGAGTACACCTCCTTCTGACTCACAAATATGCTGTTGTGTTTGTTCTGTTCTACTTGTGAGCAACTATAAGAGAGACCAAGCCAACTAAGAGAAGCATAATCCGTCCACCAATCAATGATTCAACAAATTCTTCTTGAGCTACAAAATGTGTGCTAATTAGATGAGGACATGATTTGATGAAACTTACCTGGTAGTCACTGATAGATGCTGTGAGCAATAAAGATGAAGATACACAGTCCCTGCACTCAAGGAGTTCTCATATTGCTTAACAACAACATTAATCACAGCTGCCATTTGTTGTGTGATTATTTTGCCAGAAACTGAGCTAAGCCACTTTATATGCATTGTCTTATCTGATCATAAGAATCTTACTATCATTCTAATTTTATAGTGAGAACGTTGAAGCCAAAGTGGTTATGTGACTTGCCCATCAGCACACAGTTGATAAGTGATGAAGCCAGGAATTAAATCCAGGCATTCTTACTCCAAAGTTCATGCATTAATCTACTATTCTGAGATATTTATGAATGCAAAAGTGTAGCCCAGATAATATAAGATGTAGGACAATGATAACCTTGCTCCCTAATGGAGAGAAGTAGGACGTACATAAACACAAATTCAGAGTTATCATCCATTTAATTTGTAGTAGTAGTATGAATATCTTCATGTGGCTATCCTATTTTATAATTTCAAAATGCCTCATATACCCCTTAGCTCATTAATCTCCCACACCAACCTTTAAGTAGCAGCTGGGACAAGTATTTGTTCCTACCTCACAGGTGAGGAGATGAAGCTCAGAAAAATTTGGTAACTGGCCTGAGATCAACATCTAAGAAGTCATGTAGGTGAGTTTTCTCTGACACCACATCCTGTGCACTTTCTCCATATAGTGTTTTGTTTTGTGCCATGTTGCCTGTCATCTATTAAAAGAAATTAGATCTTGAGAGTCTTATAGTCATGTCAGTACAAAATAGTAAGTGTGTCCAAGTCTGAAGAAAACAATAACCCTTAAATTTCTGCCAAGTATGTAACCTTCATATGCACATGTTTTTGCTCAATATTTCTCATACTTCCCACTCAGCGTTGAGCACTTGGCACTGGGGAAAAAAAGGATGTTTTAGAAGCGGATGGATGTCTAATCCAAGCAGTAAAAATCCAAGTGCAAAGCTGGCCTTTTCCACGCCAAAGAGAAAATGCTCAAATAAGGTGTATCCATTAATAAAAATTGACCCAAGCTGTCCCGGCAAAACATTTTTTTAAAGAAAATTTCCTAAGTCAACTAGACTTATTGGCTTTCTTTTTTCTTGTTTTTGCCTACCTCTGTCTGCCTTCCCTTGAAATTAACATTCTAGTGACATGTAGATTCAACCAGAACCTCTTAGCCAAGATTTCATCTCTGCAAGAGAGGATTTTTCTTTTAGTTAAATTCAATGAGCATTTCATGAGTTCCTGTTCAATGTCTCCTACATAAAGCACTTCAAAATTTAATGTGCATACAAATCACTGAGGATCTAACTACTGTGGAGAGTCTGATTGAGTAGGTCTGGGTGGACCTAAGATTTGTCTGCCTAAACCAGCTCTCAGGTGAAGCCAATGCTCCTGGTCTATGAAATACGATTCCTGTGTTGGGACCTGTGTGGTAGAGGATACAAGAGAAATGGCACACAGCCTCTGCTTCAGTGTAGTTGTTGATAAAATACACAGGAAACAATTAGAGAAAAGCACATAACAAACACATAATTCACTGCTATTAGCCAAATGATAGATTATGGGGAAAAAAAACACTTTTCATATTCCCTTTGTCATTGTCAGATCACATTTAATTGTTAAAATGGTCCTCAGTTTTTAGTACAATTAGTCACTTATAAAAGTACTGTTGCAGTTTCTAAAAGCCCCTCTCTTGGTGCTCTAGAAACACAGCTGGACACTGAAAAATGCAATTCACATACAACTGTTTCAGGAGCCCATTGTGTGGCTCATCTGGGCTAATTGAGCCTGAGCACTCCCTCTTGTGACAGAAAAACTGTATCTCAGGGAAGAAGCACAAGTCTAAATATAGCCATTATGTCCTGGCAGTCTGAGGTGGGCAAAAGTCAGAGGGAAAGTGCAGGGCAAGTTAGCACATAAGGTTTCTTCTAGATCAAACACAGCTAAAATTGTGAGTGAAGCAGGTTGGGGGAGGTGAAATGAAAGCAGGCAGTAAGAGTGCTGGGGGAGGGGGATGGGGGAAACAGACTTTCTTTGCTCCTTTCCCCTCCAGCCAAGGCCCAGTAGCATTTCTGCACACCTGATGGAGCCCACAGGAAACCTAGAGCAGAATGAAATCTGTGCTGGTCTGCATGAGTTCCAAAGGAGGAATGCTGCAGAGCTAATCACTGGACTGAGATTGCCATTTAATGCCCTTCCTCCACAAGCCATTCATCAAGTTTATAGCAGCAATAAGAGTTCATTACCATGTTCCCGTTTTGCACATGCTTGAACAAGGTTATGCCTCCAATTTTAAGTGTGGTGTATAAAAGGAACCAGGGAAGGTGGGAAGGCGAGAGGGTTCCTGGAAGAAACAGTAATAAACAAAATAGGTGCTCCTCACCAACCGAAAATGTGAGTTTCCCCCAGCTGTTTATGACTTTATATAATCAGAAAAAAACAGCATATCACTTATATTCTCATATTCATTCTTACTAGTAGCTCCTAAGCTGTTTTTATCAATCTAGCTATCCATTCATCGCTGCCAGTCTTCCATATTAGGAGCTAAAAGAACAGATAGGATTTGGTTCTAACCCCGAAGAAATTTATAATGTAGTTACAGAAATTGGAATTCACGTAAAACAGAGTATAAACCAGAATATAAGCAACCCCTAAATGTTGCTGTCCAGATCTTTGGTGCCAAAGCAGTTGAAAGACGTGGGAGTTAGATCTATGTCAGGCAGAGAAGCAAGAGAAGGTTTTATGGAGACAGTAGGATTTCCATTATCAAAGAAGAGAGGGGAAAGTGTTCTGAGTGGCGGATATTAATGAAACAGATTCAAAGTCATAATGGGAATCCGAGGTCTTCTCAAAGAGGTTGCAGGCTCCCACAATCCATGTCATTTTGATCCCATTATGCACAGTGGGCTCCCACTGAGCTCTGAATGTTCAAACAGGAATAGAAGAAAAGAAGCTGCTTCATGCACTGAGATAACTGTATCTGAATTCATCGGAACATTTGGTTTTTTTATGCCCCACCCGTGATTCTCTAGGCAAGATGCTAGGAATGTGTCCATCAATGTCCTGATAGTGCAGTAGTCAGTGTAGAACAGACAGATTCAAATTACATCTAAAACTGCTTAGTGTCATTGACTTAGGAGAGCCATTGTCAAGTGAGGTCTCCAAAGAATAGACATAACTTAGGTTTGGCTCATGGGAACCAGAGAAATGTGAGATTTATATGTGCCCATTTATCTCAGCCTAATTACATAGTCAAATCAGGGTACATGTAAAATTCTCTTTAGGGCTATTATTAATTTTTCAGTTTCTATGTTTTTATGGGTTGCATTTGCTGAGTAAATAATAAATGTGCACACCACTACCCCACCCCCTACCCTGCCCACCCCAGTCAGAAGCACACATAGGAGAAGTGGCAAACCACACCTGGGATAGTTTAGTGCAACCAGAGCTCTTAGCTCTAAGAAGTGCTTCTCCTTGAAGAGGATACAGTAAAATTTCTCAGTCCTTCCTTAAACTTGGAAAGGAATGAAGCCATAAAGGGAAAGAGTCTGCTCCTACTGAAAAAACAACAGTGTTTTCCTGATGTCCCCTAGAGGAAGTCAAGTGAATGATGGCTATTCTCAAGCTTGGTTTTCTCATTTGTAGATATCTTGGATGGTCCTGGTATGCTTCTTCCAGTGCTATAGGATCTGCTATATTCTTCCTTTTTTCCTAAGGTGTTGTCAATGTTAGGCATAAAAAAATAGACGGTGCCTGGTCAGTAAGTTTATGGGTGACATACACTATAGCTAGTCTCTGCCCCTTAGCAATCCTCTATTTATATGAAAATGGAAACGTTTGACTGAACCAAATATGCCACATCTTCAGGCCTTCCTCATTAACCTCTGTCTCTCTGTCACTAACCTCCTCCTGTCCCTAGAGTCTAGGAATGACAAACCTCATAGATACATTTGGCTCTTTAGAGCTGACTATGCACCATTTGAAGTCATGAAAAAAGGAAATTGCTGCTCCAGTGTTCACTAATGAGTGATTAAAAGCAAAACTATGTCCTGTGAAAGAATTCAAAAAGATTTAGTAATATATAAACCCATGTGGACATTCTGTGATCATCCTGTATAGAGGAGAAAATATTAATGGCAATGAATTCTTCAACTCTTTATTAAGGGAAGTGAATTTTGACTCCCACCTTTGTCAAATTATTTTCCCTGCCCCTTGTGAGACTTATCCCATTGCCCTGATGATCCTGTTTTTAGGATGTTGTGTTTCTCTGCTCTTGTTCTATCATTCCTTCTTTAGCATGCAAAAATCTTCTCCTTCCCCCATTGTTATCTAGTCTGGTTTGGTTCTCATTTCAAATAATCCTTAATGATTGGGGTGGCAGACCAGCCACAGGTTTAATGTCCCAGAACTAAGTCACTCGGGGGAAAAAAATTGGAAGGTGAGTTTTCAAAAGCATCTCTGGACTCCATAGTATGCAATATGATATGGAAGAATGTGTACTTTCCTTGTCTATGCCCCTAGAAATATTTCTAAAATGAATGGCTATATACCTAGTGGGCAGGATGTAATCACAGCTCACTGTAGCCCCAACATCCCTGGGCTTAGGTGATCAACCCATCTCAGCCTCCCAAGTACCTGGGACTACAGGCCCACACCACCGCACACAACTAGTTTTTGTATTTCTTATAGACACAGTCCCACCATGTTGCCAGGCTGGTCTCAAACTCCTAGGCTCAAGCAATCTGCTTGCCTTGGCCTCCCAACATGCTAAGATAAAAGGCATGAGCCATTGTGCCCAGCCTGGTTAAGGTACTTTAGGCTACTATCATTGCACCATTTCTTCAGTGTGCTTTCTTTTTTTTTTTCACTTCTTTAAATGTCTGATGCTGAGAAAGGAAGGAAGTTCCCTAAGGCTGAGAGAGTCTGTCTTCTTCCTTTCAGGTAAGGATGTCAAGGGGATAATCTCAAGGAAATAATGCATTGCCTGGTATAGATCTCCTTGGATTCCCTTCCAATTCCAGAATTGAAAGACCCAAGACCTATCTTGGGCCTTCCTCAGAATAATCTAGAAATAGTAAAATAAAATCCTCTAGGACCATCAATCAAATAACATGAAGACTAAAATAATTCTTCATACAGCTTGGAAATCTTAAAATAGATATGCACGTATCTGGAAGGAAGACAGGGTCTCAGTCCTGCCCATCCTAATTACAATTTCCATTTTCTAGTATAATTCATGATTTCTGTATGGCAGGAGGAGCTCCCTGACATGTCACCCTCAGAAGCTAGGCTAAGCAAAAAGGCTTGCTGTCTCTTTTCAGAAACAGCAAAGGCGTGTTCATTGTAGCATGTAAACATTTTACACTGAGTGAGTTCCATTTCTATCCATACTCATCACAAATGAGCACCACAAAAATACTCAAATACATATTCACGGTGTGCCTCCCAAATGCGCTGTATGAAAAAAATCAGAGCTAAGCATGAGGCACAGATCCATTTCATTTAATTAGAGTTTCAAAGAAGCCTGAAGAAAAAGGTCTGTGTCTCCCTAAGTGTTCTGTTTCTGCATGTGTATAGCCGTCTTGCATTGTCAGGTAGTTTGAAGAGAAAATAATTCCAAATGCAAAGCCTTTAAACTCTGAATGTTTAGCTCAGGTAATAGTATCATAGACCGACAATGAAAGAAACCATCTATCCCATTCCTATTCCAAATCGCATACCAGTGTCCACTTTTCCTTTCCAGTAAATCAATCAATGCTTCTTTATCAATCAACGCTGGGCCCTGATTTAAGGCCATGTCAGGAAATCCTGCACTGCTTCTCAGCACATCCCCTTGAGTATGCTAACTCCTTATTTTGATTCTCTTCTGTTTTATTTTACAGTCCCTTTTATCATCTTTTCCCAGTCCAATCATTAAACTTTGTTTGCTATTATTCATCTTCAAGGACCCTCCCTGCTGCCAGGCCAGACTCCCCATGGCCCCACATCCATGCTATTCTTTTTCTTATCTTCTTATCTCTACTCATGCCATTCCCTTGCCTGCACTGTACCATACCTCTCTCCACATAGACAACCATTTCACATTTATTCCTTCCTACTTTCAACACATATTTACTGAGCACCTACTGTGTACCAGATGCCACAGACAACCTTGACAAAACAGACAGAGTTCCTTGCCTTCATATGGTTTAGATTCTTGGAACAGGAGAGAGATAAATGAACAATAGACCTTTTTTTAAAAAATTGAGTAACTTATATAGAAATTAAGATGATAAGTTCTGGAGGTGGTCAGGGAGAAAAATTAGAGCAGGGTTAGAAGGATAGGGAGGTACTCTTCTAAGAAAGCCCACTCCCCAGTCTGAGGTACACAGTCTACAAGACAGAAGTCCATGCTGGTCTAACCATCTCACAATATCTCCATGGCCACTTCTGAAACACTTTATAAGGCCTTTTTCTAAAATAAACCTGATTGCAATTGAATAGGAAAAACAAAGTAGACATCAAATTTGATTTTCAAGTAGCGCAGCAAACTCCAGTATATACGTTGTTTCACAGAACACCTCTATGTATTCACTGTATGCCTTCCTTTGATAACCTATAGACTCTCCAAGCTGTGGATCCAGGAATGCTGCCTCTTTTGGAAATGCTTTTGGAAATGCTTCAGATTTTATTTTTCACAATTAAGATAGGACATTTTTATGATTATGAAAGTAATACATGCCTGCTATAGAAAAAAAAAAACCACCAATGTAGAAAGTTATAAAGAACAAAAATTTTACATAATTCCACCATAAGATATCCATGGTTAATATTTTGATGAACAGCTTTCCACAACTTTTTCTCTACTTACACATAAAACAAAATTATATTACACATGCTCTTTTATAACCAACTTTTTTCACTTAACTATATACCTGCAAAATATTTTAGAGGAAACTGATGGCCATTAAAATATTTAAAAAGACAAGGAAGAATTCAGAGATCAAGGAAAGCAGAACTCACACATGACTGTGACAAGTGGAAAGGATTCAGCTACCAGTTTGGAAAAAAGTAGAAGTCTGCAAGGAACATGTCACCTCTAGTCTAAGCCAAAAGCCTTGCTGAATAAAAATTTAAAAATCACCAAGAAGACACTTTGATGAGAAAAGTAAATTTTTGTTAATCATTTTGGAAAGATAACAAGAAAGTGGAGCACTGTTGACCTTTGTATACTGCTCTGTGCCCTCCTCCACGAAGGCTGAGTCTAGACAGTGCAGCAGGTGGAGACTTCTCTGAAAGGGACTCTGTGATATGTTGTCATTATAGTCAATGGATGTTGAATATCATTAGAGAGAAATCAATGTAAGAGACATCACATCTTCAAATTACAGGCTTGGTAACACAGGAAAAAGAAAGACCCTGGGCTTCTTCAAAAACTGACCAGAAAACAAAAGATGTAAGAGGGTCCCTAGAGTGACCTGCAGCCTGGTTTCCCAGAGAAAAAGAATCTACTGAGTGCAGCAACATATATAATTGTACTTGCTACAACAAAATAACCTGTAAAAAAATATATATCATTCTGAGTCTATGGATGTGTGAAAACTGTACTTTAGATTTAGTTAGGACATGTACAGGGCCTCATGGAAATAGAGATATTTTTTGAAGTCTCAGAAGGCATACTCATCCAGCACATATGCACACGTTCTCAAATACACGTACAATAAAATCTTTCCCGTTAGGGTTTGAAATGTTATCATTACAATTTCTTTAGCCCTTCTTTTCTCCTTCTCTATTGTTCTGGAAGTTACATGTTCTATTCATATTATGTTATAGTTACTTTATAATTCTTAAAAATATATTTATGAAGTCTCAAAATTAATCAGTGTCACTTTGTTCTATTTGAACAACATGAGAACCTTAGAATGTTTTAATTCTACTCTTCCTCTCGCAATTTTCTACATCGTTTTTGTTCAGTATTTTAGTTGTATCTTGTGTTTAAATTCCCCTAAACCAGTATTATTATTATTATTATTATTATTATTATTATTATTATTATTATTTTGAGACAGAGTCTTGCTCTGTCGCCCAGGCTGGAGTGCAGTGGCGCGATCTCGGCTCACTGCAAGCTCCGCCTCCCAGGTTCACGCCATTCTCCTGCCTCAGCCTCCTGAGTAGCTGGGACTACAGGTGCTCCCCACCACGCCCGGCTAATTATTTTTTTGTTTTTTTAGTAGAGACGGGGTTTCACCGTGTTAGCCAGGATGGTCTCGATCTCCTGACCTCGTGATCCGCCCGCCTTGGCCTCCCAAAGTACTGGGATTACAGGCGTGAGCCACTGCGCACAGCCAAAAACTAGTATTATTTTTAACTGTGTAAGTATTTAATATTACTATTACTTGCCAGAGACTTCACTTCTTAAACTCTATTTGTTTCTTCTGGGTCTAATTTTCTTCTTGTTGAAGAAAATTATTTAATTATCCTTTTAATTAAAATTTATGAGTGGTAAACTCTCTTCAGTTATTGCATGTCTGAAAATATCTTCTTTATTCCTCCTGAACTATTAATGAACTCATAAATCTGAGCTGACTGTAATTTCTATTCAGCACATAACTCTATTATCTTTTGATATCTCTTGTTGCTTATGTGAAGTCAGCTGCCAGTCTAATTTTTAGTAATTTGTCTTTCCTCTCTGGTGGGTTTTCAGATTTTTATCTTTGTAGTTTCACTATTGAGTGTGGATTTTTTTAATGCTTGTGGTTTAATGATTTCCTTAAACTGAGGCAGCCTTTCCTCAGTTCTAGAAATGTTCTTATTGTTATTTTTATCCTCTTCCTCTTTCATCATTTTCTCTTTCTGGATTTCCTGTTAGGACTATGTTGGAATTTCTTATGCTATCCTCCATGTCTCTTTACTTGTCTTTCCAATTTAACATCTTTTTATTTGTGAGCAATATCATGAGTGATTGCCTCATCCATTTTCCAATTCATTAATTTCATTGTTTATAGCTATTCTATTATTCAGTCCACTTATTGAGTGTTTAATTACCTTAACTTTATATTCGTGTATTAGTATTTTCCATTTTTTTAAAATCTGTTCTTCTTCAAATTTTCTTATTTTTCTTATAATTTCTATATCTTTCTGTATCTCTTTGAGCAATTAAAGTTACTCATTTTAAAATCTGCTGCAGCTTCTTAAAAATCCTCACTTATTGAAGTGCAAATATTCCCTCTAATATGGTGTTTCCTTTTATGGTTTCTAATGTTTACCCTCATCCCATGAAGTGGGTTAGAAGCAGGAAGGATGAAGTGTGTTCAATGGGGATCACATGCTGTAGGTATGAAAATATCCTAACATTTGCTGCTATCAAGCATTTTAATTTTCTCCAGTTCTGTTATAACATTTAAATTAGTTTCTTGAGGTCACTGTGCCTAGTGGATGCTGTGAATTCTCACCCAACATAATCATGTGTCATTGGCCTCATGTTATAAATATTTGCAGGTGACTGTTTCCACCAAGGGCCTCAGGATACTGCTTTGATGTTTTCCCTGGTTTAGATTCCCCAGTTTCTCTAATGGGAAGATTTTCCTTACTCCAGGCTTTATGCAAGTAGTTCATCTCTAATTCTTCTCAAAGAACTGTGGAACTTGGGCTCATGTTCCCAAGTGGGTTTTGAAGCTCCAAGACCCAGCCATTATGCTAATTAAAATTTTTCCTTGGTTTTTTGCTTCAATGCATGCTCAGCGTTCTGATCATGTTGAAGATGGAGTTACTTTTATAATTTCTAAATTTTCTAAAAATTTTTAAATGTTTGACATATTTTATTCAGCATTACTGTGTCTGGATCTGGAGAGGCTTTTGTCTCAGACTTCCATGTCAGCCAGAACTCGCAACATCACTGTTTTAGTCTTTGTGATAGTTTATCACCCTCTCCTTTAAAGATACAAAAATGCCAGAGAGAGGTAACCAATAAATTAGTAAAAGACATAGTTTAGATTATGTTCTACCTTGACAAACTGGGGCTGCCTGATGGTACTGAGCATCTAGACAAAGAAGAAATGCTAGAAAGAGGGAAGACATTATGGAAACAAGATGCTGAGAACACACACACCAAAGGCCAATTTGTCCAAAGCTGCAGCCCTGACTGTGCCCTATGTATTTATATATAGATATAGATATAGATATAGATATACAGATGCAAATATAGAGAAATAGGTAAGATATAACAATATATAACATGATTTTTTAATTTATATATAAAATATATCCATATAAATAAGGATATAGGTATTTATATATAACAATGTTTAAGTGGAGAGTAAATAAAATAAATGAACATAAAAAAGGGTAACTGGAGATGATGAAACACAGATCAAAGATAACAAGTCTAACCTTTTTTTGGTGGTAATAAATTTCAGACCCCAAAAGAGGAAGAAAAATAATTTCCTTGAGAACAAAATCAGCCACCGTACCTCTCATCACAATTTGGATACATGTTTCCAATGGGAGTGTCCCTGAAGTATAAATAATCATGGCTACAGATGTTGATTAATGTCCATCATAATAGAGAATCTAAAATACATGGTACATATATCTACCTTTCTTTTTGTTAGAATCTAACAGATACAGTATCTATATCTACCTATCCATGTATCGATCATGGGTTTGAGAAGAAAGAAAGGGAGTAAGAGAAGTGTTGCTGAACTTTTCAAATGAAATCTACATGCTTAAACTTGCTAATGATGTTGACCTCAAATGAAAGTTACTAAGTTCTGCATCTTATGATCTAAGAAATACCTATCTACAGCTCTACTTGCTCAAAGATTTCTCCTCCTACTGGCTTCTCAGAGTGCTTGAAATTTTCATCTTCCTCATGCTTTAAGGACTGTAGTCCTTTATTAAATGCAAAGCTGTTGCCTGTAAATAGTAACATACAAACCACCAGCACCCATGAGTGGTTTTGACCAGTCACCTTCTTGAGGCCTTAGATTCCTGAGAGAGCCAAAATAAATAATCTCTTAGGTCCCTTCTCTCACTAAGCGTTATTCTGTAGTTCTGTAATTCTATAATATGATGATCTCATAGGCTGATGTTTTGATAGAGGATTAGGAGTCAAGGTGGATCAAGAGCCTTAAATGCCACTTAGGGAAGCTGGAGTGGAGTGGAGGGGTGGTTACAGCCAAGGTAGGCATAGCCACAGAGGCCTCTGGATCCAAAACACTTCCCTGGTGGGAGGCAGAGAAGAGGATACCACTGAGGAATTACACTCCATGGCTTTGCCCCTTGGATGGGCATGATGTTAATACATACCTAAAATGCCAATTGTCCTTGGTCTCTTCTGTCACTGGCAGAGACCCTTCGAAAATGAAAGGCAATGTGAAATCAAATAAAGCACGTAAGAAAACCATGCTCATGGGAGCAAGTTGCATACAAGGACCTGTTTAGGACATTGTTAACATTTCTGTCCCTGTCCCTCTCCTGTAATTATCAGTGATTTGCCTTCAGCAGCAATAAAGAACATGGTTTAACACAGCCATCCCAAGTTCTAAAAGAGCAATGCTTTATATAAAGTATAAGGCCTATAAAGACCAGGCTTGATGCTTAAAGACGTTGAAACACGTCGAATGTGACACTGGGTAGCCACCTGTGTAAGCAGAGGAAGCAGCCCCATCTGCAGCATTGCGTGAGGGGCACTGGGAGGGCTTGTTGCCACAAAAGAGAATGTTAAAATAAAACACCTTTGCTGGCTTATCCCTAATGCCCAAATTCCACCTTCAAATACCATCTTCTGTGTTAAATGCCACCCTCCTTCTAACCCTTCCATCTATTTCTCCAGGGGTGAGAAATGCTAGGTCTAGACTAATAGCTCTGGGAGTCCATGTATCAAGTCGATTATGAGTTTCATCTCAAAAATGGGTGTCTGGAAGAAAAGAATAATGGCAAGGAGAAAAGGGAATACAGAATGGGGCAGGGAATCGCAGTATCGTCAAAGAAAACTGTAATAACACCAGGGATAATAATAATTCTAATCATTCCAAAAAGGTGTTTATGTGTTAAATGCTTTACAGTTTACCAAATGCTTTCACAGACATAATTTAATCTTTACATTGATCATATGAAGTAGATAAGAGACAGTTTTTTACTCACTTTACACTTGAGATTTGGAGAACTAAAGGGTCTTTTCCAGACCACACTACTAATAAGCAAGTGGAAAACTAAAACTAGATGCCAGCTATTGACACCTGCATATACCACTTTGCTCTAAAGGTATCCACAGGGCCACAGTGACTCCTTAATAGAGGAGATTTGGGGAAGTTAACCACATTCTTTGCTGATCAGACTTTTCTTAACTCCTTGGGACCTCGGAAGGGGGGTCAGGCAATACTCTGAAAATCCAAGGCCTCATCTCACCAGCTTTCATGAGCTCTAGCTCTCATCCTCTCCTGTGTTAGAACTGGCTTCCTCCTACTCAGTCCTCAGGTTAAGAATAACTGGGGAAGGGGAGAGGAAGGGAGTGGCAGGCAGAAAGTCAATCACTGTAAGTTCTCCTACAGATATTAAACATTTGAGCCCTCCAGACTCTGGGTCTTGTTTCCTCAACACAAATGCTCCCTGATAGCTGGCTTTGTGTTTACTTTCTGCAGTGTTGCACTGTGCCTGAGAGACGTCTACAATTCAGCCACTACAATAATTACCTCACTTCATCTTTTCCTTCAGTGGCTGAGGACCTAAAGCCCATTGATATCCAGCCTGCTATAAAATCATAGTATATGACAGATGTGATATAAGGGGCTCCAGAAAGGACTTAAAGCTCTAAAAATACCTCCAGTCCCTGCCCCTTTGTGCCCTGTATTCATGACAATTCTCTTATTAAAGCTTTGCTCCCTATTAAAATGTAATCCCCTCCCCTCCAAACAGACTTTAGTCCTCAGACACTGGCACTTGGGGGTAAATGATTTTTTTTCTTACAGCAGAGACTAGTATAGGGAACAGGGGGGAGGAGGGCTCTCAAAGGGGCCCAGGGATGCAGGGTGAAAGGCTCGCCATGCTTCCCATGATGCTGTATGCCAGGCTCCAGCTTGCACACAGCCCCCAGTGCAGGCAGCTTGGTTGCAGACCATCCGTTTTCCTCTCAAATGCCCTCTTTCCTTATCTGAGCTGAAAACAGCCCTCCTGCGTTGGCCTCTTCATCAACTCCCCTTTCAGCTACTACTTATTCTCACTTTCAAATTGGTGATTTTCCCCCTTACTTTTGCACAGCATTTAGGTGCTAGAAGAAAGAAAAACCAACCATAACTGAACATCCTTTAGAATCCATGCTCAGGTTCTTCTTGGCAGGTTATAAACTGTTTCTACTATAAGACATATCTTTAGGTTACACAAGCAGCAAGCAATGAAAAAAAATCACACTCAACTCTGGGGAGAGATTTCCAATAGTTTTCACGTTTCCTCATTGTCCCTGCACATCTCTAGCTCTCTTTAAGTACTTTGGGCTTACTCAGTCACTGACCTTGTCTAATCATATTGATTGTCAGCAATTGCAGTCTAATTGGAAAGCAAGTTGCTATGGTAATTCCTGTATCTTCTGTCTTACATTTAAAGACACAATGATCCTAAAAGGGGGAAAATTGCTTGTGGTTGGTGACAGAGGAAAACATAATTAGATATGCAAATTGTGAAACTAATGTATTCAAATGAATTCTGAAATCTAAGTAAGGATTTGATGTAATAAATTGGTCCCAGAATTTCTACCAAAGGCACATTTGGTCAGAAGGTATTCTTTTTCTCCAAATACTTATATTTTTAGGAAAAAATAAATAAAGACAATGTATCATGGAAGCAGGAAGGGGGTGGCTATTCACAGCTGAAAATTGGGGATAGGATCCATAACACCAGTATGCTGCATTGCGTGCTTGAAGGAACACCAGCTCAGGAGATGGCAGACCCAGATCCTGCTCCTCCTTCTATCTTTCACTCACTGTGTGGCCTTGGGTAAATCACCTAACTTTTCTGTGCCTTATTATTCTTCACTAGCAAACAAAATAACAGCTTTTGTGCTTTTCATTTATTTCGCCCATCAGTGATCACTTACTGGGCACCTGCTATTAGCAGGAAACATTGAAAGTCAGTCTCTCTTGTCACTATGTACTCCAAAGAGAGTACAATTTCTGTTAAGTTAGATGCTCCTTGAAGGCAGAAACTATACTCTTTCAAATATGTATGAAGAAGAGGACTGCAAAGGAATTTGAGATTTGGCACCAAAAATACTACAGTATTGTTAATTCTTGCTCCCTCCAACTAAATAAAAATTGAGAGCCTGCCAAGTGTGATTTGAGGGGCCTGGTATTATGGAGAATGTGACAGTTGCCACAGCTCCAGCACTCAGGGGCCTACAAACAGAAGTGCAGCTGGTGTGACAGCCTGACTATGATAAAATACCCTGATAAAGGCAAAAGCAATGTGATAGACAAACTCAGAGAAAGGAAAATGTCTTAATTCTGGAGGATTAGGGAAGGCTTCCTTGGAGAAAACTTTAAACGTTGGGCCTTAAAATTGGAATGGGGTTTCTTTCCCACTCCACTGCTCAGGTGGGAGGGTAAAGTATATGTTTACTTGACTCAATATAAGGCAAAGGACTTCAAGCCCTGAGGATGTCACTTGTTCATTCAACACACATTTATGGAGTACCTGCTGGGTGCACAGATACAAGCTATGCATATAACAAAATCCTTGACCCTAAGGGATTTATAGTCACTAGACTAGACTCTAGTAGAAAATAATAACAATAATTATAAATATCATTCCTTTACTACTTACTAAGCTTCAGATACTTAACATGTAACTATTTCATAAAGAATTCTCACAAAGTTTTATAGAAGTAAATACCATTATCCCCATTTCAAAGATGAGAAAACCGAGGCTCAGAGAGGCTAAATAACTTTGCCAGCTTCACCCAGCTAGTAAGTGCTTATATGGATCTACAATGCTACCTCTGCTGCCTGGCTGATAACCTAGATACCTCCTTCCCTGGAAGTAATAGCTTTCACCCATTGGTTCTACAGCTCCAGCAAGAAGACCCCTGGAACTAGAGTGCATTAATGAAAATGCACTCCTATCATCACATATCAAGAACATCTTAACCTAGATCAGTTCCATTATTAATTAGCCATGTAATTATAGCTTCTTATACCTTTGTTACTTTACGTGTTGAAAAAAGGGAAAGGGGGCATGTGTAGGAAAATAAATCTAGGAGATAGCTGATAAAATCTCTTCCTTTGCTGATTACTCTGAAATTCTAATTTCAGGGTCATTGGAAAAACAAAACAAAATTTCTAAAAGGTGTCTTTCTAACAGGATCCCCATTACCTGAAATTATTTTAGTAAAGGACAAATGCGTGCTTCACAATTAAATTATACACATCAATAGGGGTACAGAGGACCCCTTCAGAAGCTGCTAACATGAGGAATGAGATCTGGTTTCTCTTCTCCCTCCGCACAGAGCCAGTACCCTCCATCCTCAATAGGAGCCATTCCACTGTTTGTGTTGCTACTCTCTAAGTTTTTATTTAAACAAAGGGTCCCAAAGGTACAGCAAAGGCCTGAAAATATACTGAACCAGGTTGTTGATCCCCAATATCTTGGGTGGCCTAACTGGCTGGATCACTAACATGAAAGACTCATGTTAAAAAATAATCCAGTCTTCTTATTCCTCCCTAGAATGATGGCGTTTTTCTCTAGGCATTGGTAGTCTCATAAAATAGGAAGCATTTAAAAACCATTTCCTTTTCCTGACCTTGCAGGTCCCTTCACTGTAAAAACACGGACAGTCTCAGGACCAATAGGAGACAAAGGAGGTGCAGGAGTAGGGCTTTTGCCTATAATTTGGGGGTAGAATGGGGGATAACTACTGTTCAAAAATGGATATAAAACCAGTTAAATATGGAGTCAGAGAATACAGACCTGTAAATTTCTGAATTGTTGCAAAGGGCAGGATGGATAACAGCTTTGCATGCAGGGCACTCATAAGGGTGCTACATTCAAGGCTTCCAAGGGATAAAATAAGACCATCAGTGTGACTCAAATACAAAAGCAGCCAAATGTGAGCTCCTTGTTGCTCCTTCACTGTGGCTCATAAAGGAAGCTCTTTCAAGCCAAGATAAGATTTAAAGAGGTATAAAATGGAGGGGCATAAAAAATAGAGTAATTATAAATTACAGAGTGAAAACAGAGGCTGGAAGCAGGAGAAAAGCCATTTGGGGAAGCCATTTGTTACAGGTACGGTATCAAAAAGGCACAATCGAACCCAGAGAGAATTATTAAGGAAGGTTTTGGGGTGCTCTGTGGTGCCAGCAGTGGACAGGACAGCCTCCAATAACACACACACACACACACACACACACACACACACACACACACACTTGCTATTCCTTTAGCAAAGAGCCTCAAGACATATGTCAAGGAGGAAATCAACACTGGCTTACTGGCTTGTAGGGGGTATCAATGGAGCCCTCTTTAAACTGACAATAAAACATATGCTGTCTTTAAGAGAATAATGGCTCAGGCCAGAAGTCCTTTCTCACACTTGTCCAGGGCTTCGAGTGGTAAATGGCCCTTGCTGGCTACCCTGCTGCTACTCCCTGATAGGTCTGCCGCAGAGCCACTCCCAAAGATGCAGTGCCATAAGAAGGATGCGGCATGGAGCCCCGCCTCACCCTAGCTTTTTAAAAATGAAAGCTGGCTGTCATAGAGGACTGCCAAGGATGAGGCTGGCTGCCTTTTAATAACAGAATCACAGAAATAATTAAAATCACAGAATTCCAGGGCTAGCAGGGACCCTGGAGATCATTTGGATCAACAGTGTTGTTTTATAGATGAGGAACAAAGGCCCAGAGAAGGTAACTGATTTGACTCAAGAAGAGTGGTTAATTAGTGGCAGAGTCAGGACTAGAACCTAGGCCTCCTGACTCCAGTGAAATAATAAAAATAATAGTAAGCAGCACGACCTTTGCATAACACTATGTGCTTTTATCCTAGTGCATGACATGCATTATTCATGTGATCTTCAACAGCCCAGCCAACTACAAAGGATTGAGTATAAAATGTACTGAGGGACAGAGGACCTTCACACATCTTACAGAGGAAAATGGATCTCAGAAAGCTCCAGTGATTTGCCAAAGTGATGAAGGGCTTCCTTTGGCCCACTCAAGAGACCTTTCCAAATGCAGCTTTGCATTTCTAGAGCTTAGAGAGCTGGGGGTTCAAATTTCTTAACCTTAACACCCTCTCAGGCTGTGTGTGCTAATGGATTTAGTAGCCCCCATTGTTAAACAGTTGTTCTTTCTAGCATGCCAAGTTTTGTTGTTGTTTTTTCACGAAACAGTTGAAAAAGGGAATAAAACAGCCAAGGGCCCGTAATTCAATAAACAGCAGCCACGATGTGTGCTCACAAGAGGGAAGGCAACTCAATCACAGGTAGTAAATACTGTGTCACTGAAGAAGAGTAGTCTCCGGTTAAATTAGGTCAAATATAGATTTCGTTTTGAGGAAGAATTTTTGGTTATTTCTTTTCTTCAAATTGGCCAAGCAATACTAATTAATCCATCAATAAAAATGTACTTAACACCTACTGTATGTATCCACTTTTCACCAGATGGTAGATATAAAACTCTTACCCTGCCCTGATGTGAGAAGCATTTGCTGAACAAGTGCTAGCAACCACCCAGGGTACTAGACTCTTAACCTTAGATATTAGAGTAGGACAGATGACAACAAACTCCAAAATATCAGGGACTTTCAGAACAAGTTTCTTTCTTTCTCATCGAGTGGTCTGGGTTGGTATTTCTCAGCATTTTATTTAAGACCCCAGGGCAAAAGCAGCTTTGCCATCTTCAACTGTGGCCTTCAAGGTTGTTCTGGGCACCTCCAACCAACAGCTAAAAAGGAGACAGTGTATGGAGAAGCACAATGGTGGGTGAAGGACCAGGCCTGAAATAGCACACACCACTTCTGTTCACCTTCCACAGGAAGAGCTTTCTTCTCACAATGCTACAACTAACAGTAAGATTGGCCAAGAAATGTAGTCCAGCTATGCTCCCAGGAATAAGAGGAGGGAAATTGATTTTTGAGGACAGTTAGCAATCTATTCCATGCCACATATTTATCTCCAATATTCTCACAAAAACCCTAACAGGTGGATAATTATTCCCATTAAAATAAATGTCATGCATATTAATTGACTTGTCCAAGGTCACACGACTGGGCAATGATAAGGCTAGAATTTGAATCTAGACCTGTCTGGCTTCCAGGTTGATGCTGCCACTCACACATGTGTGTCAACCAAGACAAATATGAGTCAGCAGGGCCCTGATGAGACAAAGCCATTAGTGAGATTACCCATGCAGAGCATTTAGCACTGTGCCTGCTACACCGCAAACATCTAATAAAGGTTAATTATTATCATTGTCATCATTATTCCTGCAGCCTTGAGTTACACAACTCAAACTTACAAGTGTCTCAAACCTATGGCCACTTTACTGTCCCTGTCCCTTGTATGTCAAAGGCTACTCCAACCTCGCACCTCACTTTTTTTTGCCTCTGCCAAAAGTGTCAGGTCACATGAAACCCAAACGACCTGATCAACATGCCTTTCCTTTCTCCTCTACACAGCATATCCACTCCCTTACTACCTACCAAACTCCTTGTCTTTCATCACTAGGAACTCAGTAAATTCCTGCTTAAGAAAGAAATTGACTACCTTTTCTAGCTTCCAACCCTAATCTGACTCTACCTCCAGAAAATCTTTGTCCTTCCTTCACTCTTTTTTTTTTTTTTTTTTTTTTGGAGAAAGAGTCTCACTCTGTCATCCAGGCTGGAGTGCAGCCGCACAATCTCAGCTCACTGCAACCTCCGCCTCCTGGGCTCAAGTGATTCTAATGCCTCAGCCTCTCGAGCAGCTCAGACTATAGGCATGTGCCACCAAACCTGTCTAGTTTTTGTATTTTTAGTAGAGATGGTGTTTTGCCATGTTGGCCAGGTTGGTCTGAAACTCCTGACATCAAGTGATCGGCCCACCTCGGCCTCCCAAAGTGCTGGGATTATAGGCGTGAGCCACTGCGCCCGGCCCTTCCTTCACATTTTCTCATCTTCTTTCAATTCCATTTGCTTTCCCAAATAATTATCCTATGCATGGCTCCCAAGCACAAAGACTAGCTGCACCACTGTGTCCAGGTAGGGATAGACTCATAGGCTACCAGCTTCCACTTCACTATTTTCTCTACTCATCCCTTCATTCTTAGTCTTGCATATTATATACATAAACTTAAATCTCTCCCAAATATTAAGTAAATAATTGGTACACTTTATTCATTTGAAAACAGATGACCTATGACCAACATCAAACCACTCCGGAGTCACCACACGGCTGTTAAGAACTATTGGTGGTGGAAATTGCAAAGCTGACAATGATGGTGGGAAATAAAGGGAGGTTTGCAAGAAATACAGAAGAGAGTAATTGAGAGAATTTAAGATCTGTTTGGACAAAAATGGTGGAGAGAAGTTGGAGATGGCAGCAGAATTAAAAACTTAGGTTAGTCCAGTGGGCCAGTAGGGATGTCAGACAGAGCCGTTGGCAGGGGTCGTGACTAGGGAGGGGAAGAGAGTTTGGAGAGGAAAAGAATCTAGCTGCTCTAGACTGATTGTCTGTGATGGGTTCACAAAACATGTATCCCTCAGGTTGTTACAGACAAGGGATGCTGGTCTCAGAGGGCACCTCATTTGCCTCATCAGCAGATTCATCAGCAGAGAGGTCCTAACTGAGGGAATGAGGTGACCTCAGGGGGTCAACAGGAAAAGCTTGAGGGACACCAAGACAGGGATTAAGAAATGGTGACATTTAGAGAGTGTGTTGGGGTAAATATGGTGTACAGGGAAAAATAATAAAATGTATTGAAGCCCCACTGTTTACTCGGCTGTGTTGGGCACCGGGCATCCTTCCCACACTGTCCTCCACTTCTGTTGACTCTGCACTCGCAACTTTTCATGCGTATGCCTAACCTGCCGATGTTTGCAAGATAAGGGCAGTAATATTTACCATCTTATATGCTTTATACTTGCACAGAAAATGTACTAAAAGGTGCTTATTATATGAGTTGCTGCTTGGAACTTTGACTTATGTGTGCTGTTGGGGAAATTACTGAACTTCTGTGTGCCACCCTCTTCTGTAAAAGGGGCTAAGGATGGCACTTAGCTGACAAGGTTGTTGTGAGGATTAAGCAACCTAATAAATGTGAAGCAGAGAAAAGTTGCCTGACACGTAAGTGCTTAATAAACGTTAGCTATTATGACTGTGATTTTTAGTCCCTTTGCTCATCTACTGAGGGAAACAAGGGAAATATATTATGTCAAATTTTAGATTACTTAAGGTTTAAATTAAGGTAAACCTAAAAATGAACACAATCGTTTGTTGTTGATGTATTTGAAACCAAGTGCATTTAATTCAAATTACTGAATTAGGCTGAGCCACTGAAGGTACTTTTATCTCTGTCTCATTTTGGGGATATCTGTAGGATGACTCTAGCAAAGACTTATCTTGCCCATGAGAAGGAAGCAGATCTGGGAAGACAAGACCATCTCAGGCATGTCAGGAAAGGATAGCACCACTGGCTGTCATCTGAGGAGGTAAAAGGAGCCTTGTGGCAACATCCTCACCACACCCTGACATGTCCCACCTTGAATTGAGCCTCTCCTAAAGGGAAAAGCATGCTTTTTAGGTTATGATTTCAGTGGTGGAGACAATCCATGTTGAGGCACATACATGCTCTACCTAATCTCCTTTATGCGGTCAGCAGACCAGATAGCCAATCTCACTATAGGATTTAGGAAGGGGCTTGGGTTCGGAATAATAACATAGCCTGGTTTAAGTATTTAAATGATTCTATAGGTGAGGTTAAGGGAATAACCTGAATTTCTCTAGGACCTTTGCCAGTAGAGTTTTCCCTCAGCACAGTGGTTGACTGTCACAAGGTCTCCCAGCTGCAGATGAATTTAGTCCCAGACTCCACAAAGAGAGTTTTATGAAATTTTCTGGAACATATTTTCATGGGAATTTTCACCTGCCTTCTTATACATGACATATATATATTACACATATTATAATTATATTATATGCATATTACACTTCAATATCACAAGGTATACAACATATGTCACATATATAATATGAATTACTATATGCACATACTCTATCTTGTTGTATTGAAAAGCAATATACCAAAAGTTTATTTTTTCTAGTAACTAAAATGTGCCCCATCAAATACAGATAGCACCAGTTAAGGAAAGCCTAGAATACTACTCTCACTGAGTTAGAGATGATTGATGAACCAAGGATCCATTTTATTCATCTTTAGATTCCCAGCACTGATCCCAGTGCCTGAAACACAGAAGCTCCTTAATCAAAATTCGTTGAACATTTGTTGAATTAGTTCTCCACTCGCTTAAAGATTCACTCCAAGTTTTCTGCTAAGAAGCTTCCCTCCTGTGCGAATACACAATTTGATTTGCAAATACTCTGTTTACTGCAAGTTTTCAGGAACACGGTTTTATTGTACAAAAGCAAAGGTGGAAAATCTTTTATAATCTTTCAAAGATAATTCATTCATTCAGCAAACATTTGACTGGGAGCAGGAATATTAAGATAAAGGGCAATGTCACTGTCCTCCAGCAGTTCTTAGCCTAGTGAGGGAAACAAAGCAGAATGCAAACCCAATGCAATATGCAAGGGGCAGTAACAGAGGGTCTATGGAAATCCTCAACCACTGGGGACTCAGGGAAGGAAAACAGTCAACTGAATTTAGTTTGAGCTTATTAACAACAAAAGAAAAATTTGATTCAGTGACTATTACAAATATTTTAATGCAGTTGAGTCTCTTAATTTACTGAGTTAGGGAGAAATATTTTGGATATATTGGAGAAAAATGCTCTGTGAAGAGAAAGGCAGGGGAGGAGGGACAAGATGGGAAAGACCCAGAGGGGGACTTTATCTCCTCTATCAGAAAGAAAGTGAAAAAGAAGTTTCTGTTTTTGATTTCTTATTCTTTTATTTTTATTGTTTATTTTATTCATTTCAGGGATATATTATTTACTCACCAAAATCTGGAGTTTAGGCACAGTCTCGGCTCACTGCAAACTCCTCCCAGGTTCAAGTGATTCTCCTGCCTCAACCTCCTGAGTAGCTGGGAGCACAGGCATGCACCACCACGCATGACTAATTTTGTATTTTTAGTAGAGGTCAGGCTTCACCATGTTGCTCAGGCTGGTCTCAAACTCCTGACCTCAGGTGATCCACCCATCTCAGCCTCCAAAAGTACTGGGATTACAGGCATAAGCCACTGTACCCGGCCCTTATTTTTTTTTTTAATTTTACTTTAAATTCTGGGATACATGATGTGCAGAACGTGCAAGTTTATTACATAGGTATACATGTGCCATTCTGTTCTCCAATTCATGTCATCGAAATCCTAGTGAGGCCTTTAACTACTGGTCACAGCTCTTCAGTTCTTTGTATCCAATAAGTCAGTAACAACTCTACTCGGAATAAAACAGTTCGGCACTTGTCAAATGAGTATCAGTTATAATGGTGAACAAATTAATATGACTCTGTAAGAGGTTGAAATTTCATGCTGGAGCAGACCAAATTCTGTATGCTTATTCGCTCCCTAAAGTCCTCAATATTGGAAAACACCCTACCCCAACCCTCCATCAAATGTACTTGTATATTTGAAGGAAAGGAATTTCATAATGGCTCTGAAACCCACACCAGAGAGAATGCCTTGATAACCCCCAGTACCTCATGGAAGCACATGTCCCTATCCTTCATACAAACATGGAATCTCATGTACAGAAGGGGCCTTAAAAGTCATCTTCCCTAATCCCCAGTCAGACACTCAGTGAACCCTTATAGTCACCCGTCCTCTCTCCTGTTTTATTTTCTATGGGTGTTTTGTCAATTCAAGGACCTCAACTGATAGCCAGAGAAGGCCTAGGGAGAGAGCTGTGACCCAGAGAGGCACGGATAAAGGTATCCAGATACTATCTGGTCAGCAGACCAAATATTTTTGTGTGTCACTTGCATGTTATACTCTGTATTAGTAAAATTCCCTGGAACAAAATCCTAAGTCATAGACAAGCTAGGCTGGGCTGTCACCTGCTGGACTTAGACATGTTGCCTGCAGAAAAGGGGGTGAAAGAATGCCACAAACTTCATCTCCTTCAGTTTAGTGATGATATTCATAGGCCTGAAGATTTCTTTTCCTTAGTCTACCCTTTGATCCATTCATTCATCCAGTAATCATTTATTGGGCACTAACTACATATCAAATTATCACTAGATGCTAGAGATACAAAAACAGATGAATTAGACAATGACCAAAAAAAAGCAACGACAAAACATGGTTGTGATTGCTTCAGCTGAGAAATGAAAAAGATCTTGTGAGAAGCTAGACAATAGGAAAACTTCAGTGCTGGTAGAGTAAAGGAGGGCTTTTCAGAGGGAATGCAGATTTTTCTAAACCAACTACTTCATTCTCCTGGAGCTCCTCTATCACACTCTGCATATCCACCTATGAATATGTACATTGGGTCAAAAAGTCTGGTAGCATATTATTACTATTTCCCTAAAGAACCTTGCAGTACAAAGTATGACCAGCACCTGGGCTATTAGAAATGCAGGACCTCAGGCCCCAGTCAAGACCTTCCCAATGAGAATCTGCATTCTAAAAAGATCTCTAGGTGGTTCTCATGTGTGTTAGCATTTGAGAAGCGCTGTCCTAGAAGATGAGGAAAGGAGAGACTCATCTCTGAAAATTGTCTTCTGCAGAGCTTCTGTGCTTGAGGATGAAGGCACCTTGCACTGTTCTGGAAAAGACTTGACAAATGATCTCATCGTATCCCCTTATTTTGCAACAAAGAATCCAAGGCCCAGAGGGGTGCTCAATATGGCACGGGAGGCAGGGAGGGTAGAAGAAAGTGTGTGAGCCCTTCTGTCAGCCACAGTTGGTTCCTCATACAGGTGGGACCATTTATTAATGTGGAGACCAAAATACCAACCTCACAAGCATGTCAAAAGGATTACAGAGTATGTAGGTAAAGTGGCTGATAAACGGTAAACACCCAATAAATTATAATAGTAATAACTAGAGACAGAATTGGGTTAGATCGGAATAAGATGTCTAAATTTCTCATTGAAGGACTTTTCCATGACTGTACCCTGTTCACCTGCCCCCAACCCTCGTCTGGCCAAAGGCATCCCCCTACCCAACCCTAACACCTGGTACTGTCTTTGAAGTTGAGACCGTCAAATACGGACTACTTTCTGAAATCACTAATTTAGAAGTGTTTCTTTACTTTGTTCTAATAATTTCTAGTTCCTTTTGAAAAACAAATCCAGTTAAGGGAATTCTCAATATGTGAACTTCGGCAAGGACATATGTCTCTACGAGTGGTGACCAAATGTACTGCTAACTGCTAGTGAACCTGGAAATAGCTTTTAGAGGAGATGGCCTTATTTGCATTTGAGCCCTTCCTGTTAGCTAGCCTTTTCCTGCATGCCTTATTCTCTACCTGTGCCATTCTTTCACTCTACTGCATTCAAATGAAGGCTTTCTTCTTCCATCCCTTTCCCCCTCCTTCTCAATTCTGTACCTCTCAGAACTCCCTGTACTTACAGGATAAAGAATGAGATAATAAACGGCCAATAGCCAGCATGGTGTTCATTCTCTCTCTCTCTCTCTCTCTCTCTCTCTCTCTCTATATATATATATATATATATATAGAGAGAGAGAGAGAGAGAGAGAGAGAGAGAGAAACACATACCCCACCCTTATTTATGTTCAACTGTGCAAATGGTGAGGACTTTAATTTACCAAATAAATCATGAAAGATGTTATTATGGAATAAGAGGAGCTCTTCTCACATAATGTCTCCTCATTCATGGGGGCTTCTGAGAAATGGCCCTGCCACCACTGGGTTAACAAGCCACAGATGTCACCAGCCCCCTGGTCACAGATGCACCAGTCACAGATGCACCAGCAGACTGCTGCTGCTCACAGTCACACTTCCCCTCCCCCAGGGGCCTTCTTTTTTCCCTCCCCTCCAGGCCTTTCTCTTGATCAAGAGCCTTTCTAGAACTCTTCCGCTAAATCCTAGGCCAGCAGACAGCACTTCTACCCCAGCCAGTTTGAATGCATGCTGCCTGTGAGATTTCCTGAGACACTCAGCTGCCGCATTAAAACTGCATAAGAGTCTTCCTCAGGAGGCCTAATAATAGCACATTTCATCTGTGAGACACTTTATAAATATTAACTGATTAAGCTGCCCTCTCTCCTCACAACCTCTGGGCTTCTGCCTAGTGGACTTCATTCTCTTCTGCCCTCAAATTACTCTGGGAGAAAAAAACGCTGAGACCTGAGGAATCTTTTCTGTGTATTCTAGGCCAAGACATCATTAATGGCAATGGCCTTGCAACAACCTCCACCTAGTTAATGGCATGGAGTGGAAAGGGATTTAAATATATGTTTTATTTTATTATTTTTCTTAATTTTTAAGTTCCAGGGTACATGTGCAGGATGTGCAGGTTTGTTAAATAGGTAAATGTGTGTCATGGTGGTTTGCTGCACCTATCAACCCATCACCTAGGTATTAAGCCCAGCATGCATTAGCTATTTTTCCTAATGCTCTCCCTCCCTCAATCCTACCCCCTGACAGGCCCCAGTGTGTGTTGTTCCCCTCCCTGTGTTCATGTGTTCTCATTGTTTAGCTCCCACTTATAAGTGAGAATATGCGGTGTTTGGCTTTCTGTTCCTACGTTAGACATTAATGGGGCCAACAAACATATGTGTATTTTAAAAGAGACTGGATTGAAGTTCTCATCTCTCAAAGCCAGATTAGCAGAGAGAAAACAACTCCACGATCTAGGACAGTGTCACTGAACTACAGCCAATGGATCAAATCCAGCCTGACACCTGTTTTTATGAATAAAGTTTTATTGGAACACAGGCTAATTCATTCATGTGTTACCTTTGGTTACATTTGGGCTACAATGTCAATTGGGCAGTTGTGATAGAGACCAAATACCACAGCAAGGGCAAAAAAGTATTTACTATCTAGCCCTGTAAAAAAAAAAAAAAAATGTTTACTGACCCGTGGTCTAGGGAACTTAAATTTTGTTCTCATCCTGTATATTCCCTAAATATCTTTAAGCAAATCTCTTCCTTCCTGGACCTCACTTTCTACAACTATAGACTGGATAATCTCCAAGGTGAGCCACAGCCTTCGACTTATTCTCCTCTTGTTCGGTAAGTGTTAGCCTCTAGTATGTTAGTTTTGCCTTATTACTACAGCTGACTTCTTTAATGGCAGGAAAGGAGTTTTGTGTGTCTTGTGAATCCTCCCAGACACAAGGCTCTATGCTGAGCCCTAAAAATATTCAAGGAGTGTAACTGAACTGGCTTGACTTATATATTTTTTTCTCCACAGAGAGATCTCTCAGAATGATGTCTTGGAGGTGATAGAGGCAGATGTGTTCTCCAACCTTCCCAAATTACATGAAATGTAAGCAAGAAGATTGGGGGATTTGCTCATGGCCATTCTTGAAAAAACCCTTAAAGTTCTTCTACATTCCTGGGAGGCCCTGATTCTGCCATGGCCTCAGATCCCTAGATTGTCATTATAAGATGTCAAAATCAGCCTAAAAGGCACTGTAATGTGTCTCTATCTGGTGACCCAGGGACCAGCTCAGAGCCTAGTCTCATCCTGTTGCCTGCCTGTCATCATTTTTTGCATCATAGACCCAAGAACTTTGCCCAGTGACTATGTGCAAGCACCTCTGTGTCATCCTTCCATTCAGAGTTATTCCAGTCAAAGCCCAAAATAAGTCCCACATGATGTAGTTGAAGTTGATTAGTCCTGGTCTGACTACTGGCCTATGCCATATATTCACCATGAAACCTTGGCCAAGATAGATAACTATCTGAGACTCAGTTTTCTCATCTGTAAAACTGGAATAATAAAATTACATATGTCATAGGATTACCCTGATGAATAAAGAAGATAAATGTCAATTAAATCTAGCATACTGACTGGCCTAGAGTGTGTATGTTATAATGATCCTTGGTTCCTCTACTACTCCAGCCAAATTTACTTTCTCTTGTTGATGTTCCAGTTTTACATAATAGCGCTGCTCACACAGATCCACTTCTGTTTCATACCAGTTTATTATTACTATAAATTATTTCATAGAATCATAGAATGTCAAAGCCAGAAGAGACTTTAGAGACTGGTCAACAATTTTTCAAAGTATATTCTGTGTATCACTAAAAACTCAGGGAATTATAAGGTATTTTTAAAAAGGAAAAGATTTATGGTCAAATAAGATTAGGAAATATTAGGTAAATAAAATTAGATAGGTTTGCTTCTTATAGGAAAACTTTTCAGAGTCTATAATATGCTAATATGCATTTAGAATCTCCAAGAAGGATATTGTGTGTTTGTCAACTAATGTCACTGGAAAGTTTTCTTTAGAGATTGGTGATTACCATCTCACAAAATCCCCATGGAACACATTTAAGAAAGCCAATGAACTACCTCCTAATTTTACAGATGAAGAAGGAAAGGCACAGAGAAGTTGTAAGGCTTATCTAAGGTCATCTGTCCAAATCCACACACAAATAAGAACTTGAACATTAATCTTTTGACTCTTTTGTATCTTTTTAACAAGGATGAATTTATTTTTATCATTTGCCAAATATCAGTAGGGAACAGATACACACACACACAAATAGACACACAGGTGTGTGTGTGTGTGCATGCGCGTGTGTGTGAATTTCTTTAGTCTGCTCATTTGGCAATCTCCCCTCTCCCTTTTACTTCCTTCTACCCACTCTGCCTCCTACCTTCATTTTTCCTCGTTGCCTCTGCACTCTGCAAGTGATGTTCACCCTCCCTCTCCCCATTACTTTCATGCTTCTTCCTTTCTTCTCTTTCCACTTGGTCTAGTTGGGAAGAACCCACAGACATTATCAGAGAAATGAACCAAAGGGCAGCCAGCCCTCTGGGCAAGGTCAAGCAGGCATCCCTTGAAACATTTCAATGGACAGTGAAGGTAGTGGTTTGGGTCTTTCATCTCTTCCTTGCATAAAGAGGTGCTCACCTCCATGTAGCACTGACTGTACTTAAAATGATTAATTGCCTGGTACTTAGATCTGGGTAGCTACAGTTTACAGCAACATAAAAGCTAATGAAACAGGGAGGAAGTAACTAACAGAGAGCATGTCTACAAATACACATTGATCCAGCAAGACAAGGAAAGGGCAGGCTGTCTGTGTTGGAATCCAAATGTGAACATGCTCACTTCCAGACTGTTGATCAAGACACAGCACAAGCCAAAATAGGGCAGAAGTCACCCCTTTCCATGAGCTCTGAGTGAGCAGCCTCAGTCTACTGCATAAAGGGAATCAATGGCCATTCCCAGCTACTGTATGCTTGGATTTCATGCTTAAAAGCAAAAAGATATCGATTGTTTTTCTCCCAACTTTCTTTTTCTTTGCCATTTCACTCTCTTTTCCTCCAATACCTTTTTGCCCCTCACTTTTTCCTTCCTTATCTTCTTTTCACCTCTTTTCCATTTTTCATTGCTCTTTTTCATTACTTTCATTCCTTTTTCTCTTGCCTCCCGACCAGACAAACACTCATTTCGCCATATTAGTCTCATTCCTAACCTCTTAGCCTCCTCCAACCCTGGGCGATTCTTACTGGTTAAAGATGCAGCTCTGCTCAGGGTGACAAGAACCCACCCAGCCAATGCTCTGTTTGCCTCCAGCGGACAGGGCCCAGGTAATGAGAATGAAACAGCAGGGAGACAGGGTTAATATTTAGTTTGCACAGCTTAGTGTGATAAAAGGCACTGCATGCTCCCTCAATATTTATTGAAATGATGGATGGATGGATGGATGGATGAATAGATGGGTGGATGAGTGGATGGGATGAATGATTTATTATGTACTCTGTAAAATGTGAAAAATACTACAGCATTCCTTACCATCAAGATCACTAGCATGTTTTTTCTTCTTTTACAGTAGAATTGAAAAGGCCAACAACCTGCTCTACATCAACCCTGAGGCCTTCCAGAACCTTCCCAACCTTCAATATCTGTAAGAACTCATGTAGTTTGGTACCCCCACTATGATTAAATAGTGCAAGCCTATTTTACTAAAAGGCCTACTTGATACTCTGGGGAGCAATTACTTTTGATCAAGGATGGTGGTGGGGGGCAGAAGTGGAGGTGGAGAGATACTTGGTGATGGATTTTAGTTTAATGAGCAAATTCTACTAACATAATTGTATCTTGTTTTCATTTGCAAAAACAGACATAAGAAATGCCATTTGCATTAATGGGACGGTCACATGGACCTCGTACAGAACTCAGTCATAATTTAGTGTTAATGAGATACAGCCAAAATTTCTGCTAGCATTTAGCTTGTGACCTTGACTTCAAAGCCATTGTCTCTCTTATTCTGCATATATGCATTTTTCCCTTGATAAATATCAGCATTTTATTTTGTTTATTTTGTATGTTTTCGTTAATAACACACATGGTATTTTATCAGCAGAGATTCCTAGTGTTTCAGCTGCATTCTTTGGGCCTGCCCCTATCAGCAAAAGCACTGCTTCCTCTACTCAAATGGCTTTCGGATTAGCTGAGGGCTTGACAGAGCCATGAGTGTTATAATGGGACCCCACAAAATAACAGTTAAGAATTTGGTCGCTGGAGTTAAACTTTCTGGGTTCATTTACCAGCTACTGATCATAGGTATGGACTTAACCTCGCATATTGTTTCATCAAGAGAATGGAAATAATAATCCTTGAATATCTGTTATCTATTAGCATCATAATCATGCATAACCAACCAACCACTACACAAAGATAGAGGCTTAAAGCAACAACTACTTGTCATTTTTTACCTCTCTGTGAGTTGATCAGTGGAATGGTTCTGCTGATCTGGACTAGGTCTGCCTGACCTCAGCTAAGTTCATTTATACATCTATTGTTAATTGGCAGATCAACTGGATGTTGGCCACTCTGGATGGCCTCAATTGGGATGACTCAGCCCTCCTCTAAGAGGCACTCATTTCTAGCAGGGTAGCATAGTAGGCTTGTTTTCATGGTAATCCCAGGGTTCTAAGAGAGACAGCTGAAGACTGCAAGCATCTTAAGGCCAAGATCCTGAACTAGCACACTATCTCTTCTGATGCATTCTATTAACCAAAACAATTCACTGAATCATCCAGATTCAAAAGGTGAAGATGCTACTTCTTGATGGGAAAAGCTGCAAAGTCACAACACAAGGCATAGGGAAGGATACAGAATTGAAGCCATTTTTTGAAGCCACTTTTGAAATCAGTTTAAAGTATTTAAACATTTTTGTACTACGCCTCTGATAGTAGATGCTCAGTAAATATTAGCTATTAATGATATTACGATTCTGTGCCTAAATTTTCATTCATAAGAACTGGACTTAACAGGTATAATAAGAAACACTGGGCCATCATGTGCCTTAGCTCTCTGAATGAGAACTGAGGTAATAAAAGACTTAATAGGAGACAATTCATATGACCTGGAACTTCTGCTCTCTGACAGCTACCCCAGAAAGGGTCTGAAAAAGAAACAAAGTCATCTGCTTCTAAGTTACTGTCAGAGGTAGGCTGGCTTCATGGGCACACAAGTGCAGTTGTATAGGGCTTTGTGCTCAGGAGGGCCCCCGCACTCAGAGGACTGCTGGGTTTCATTCTCTGCTGTTACCTTCTTGAAATGCTTAAACAAGAGGCTCTGCATTTTTATTTACACAGCATCCCACAAATTACGTAGCCAGTCCTGCTTAGAGGTTAGGGTTATGAGCTCTTCTACTTTCAGGCTTAGGAGTCTTGATCTCTAAGTTCATCATGTTCCTTAGGGATGGAATCTTTGCTATGCTCTCTGCAGAGGCTAACATGCCTAGGCACATAACAGTAGAGGAAATACGTGACAACAGAAAAAGCATGCACCTCAGAATCAGAAAGTCTAGGTCTTCATCCTGACTCCATCATTCAATAGTTGAGAAATCTTGGGCCAATCACCGGACTTCTGAGAGACGCACATGGCTTATATGAACCTCAAACAAGATTTAGATATGAAAATATTTTGTCAAATACGAAGTGCTCAAAAACATTAATAAATGTATTTGTAGAATAATTATTTCTGGTCAAATACTCAAGGTCTACCAGCCCATCCTCAGGAAAATTCTAGTAAGTTGTTGAATAATTATGCTGCCGATTAAGACCTTCAGCTTTTACCTACAAATGCTTGGCAAGGGTTCAAAAAGAGGAAGTTGGAGCATGCCTTTGCATTTAAATGAACAGAATGGAAAAGAAACTATATATGAAAAACTATGAATTCAGAAGGACTGGAATCCAAATAGAACATTGATATTTATTAGCTAGCTGGTTAATTACTTTCCCTAAACCTCAGTTTGCTTATCTATAGAGCGGCTGTAAAAACCAAATAAGATTATGCCTTTAATAAAAAAACACTTTGCAAATTGTTTTTATATAAAAACTATAAAGAACTATAGAAATATAAAATTATTAGTGCCTGTTACCCAGTTAGTTTCCTTCATTCTTTCTTCCTTTCTCCCAACTCTATCTCTCCCTTCCAGATCCTTCTCTTCTTTTGTTTTGGAGAATGCCAAAGTGGAAAATGGGGATCATAGAGCCTTCAGTGACAGAACAAATGCTCTCTAGGACATGAAGAGGCATCCCCAGAGACACTTTCATTCATAAACTATCACATATGGCTAATGCAAAGCACTCCTGCCAAGGACAAACCCAAGAAGAAAACCAGCTCTTCACATAGATATCCCTAGCCCATGATAATAATAGCATATCTGAAAATGCGGATTGGAAACAGGTAAATGAGAAATGAGGAATCATTGCAAAATTTGAAACCAAGGGATTCAGAATTTGACCTCATCATTGACCCACATCTTGCAGCCAGCACCATTTGTTCTTATGAATGAGGACCCCCTTGGCCCTTCCCTTAGGAGATGAGGGCAGGGGAGATACTTGAACTTGTAAGGATGTGGGCATGGAAAGCACAGCTCCAGACAGAGGAAGGGAGAGAGGGAGAACAGAGGAAACAGAGCTATGCCTTTGCCTCTGAAAAAGGCTGAAATCTGTGCCACCTGCCACTAAGTCCATCCTCCTCTTTGTGTCTTTCTGTCTCACTTTGGGGTGTTGAGTAGTCCTCAGTCCTGTATCAAGTTCACAAAAAGCTGGAGGTGACCAATTCCAGACACATCTTTTTCTGAGAGAAGATTATTGTTCTCAGGGCATTTTAAACCTGCTTTCTAAGGAAAGAAAAGCACAAGAAAGGATTTAGAAGGGATTATGTCACTGTCGAGGGATTCTCCTTGATTGCTCTGAAAAATAGCATATCATTTTCTTAGTCAGTTTGGGCTGCTCTAACAGACTACTGTAGCTTGTGTAGCTTAAACAATAAACATTTGTTTCTCATGGTCCTGGGGGCTAGAAGCCCAAGATCAGGATGCCAGCTGGCCAGTTCTTGGTAAGGGCCCTCTTCCTGGGTTACAGACAGCCATCTTCCCATTGCATCCTTACAATGTATATGCACATGGCCTTACCTTGGTGCATATACACAGAGAGAAAGAGAGATCCCATGTCTCTTCCTCTTTTTGTAAGGGCATTCATCCTATTGTGAGGGTCTTGCCCTGATGATCTTATCTAACTCTAATCACCTTCCAGAGGCTCTACCCTTAAATATCATCACATTGAGGGTTAGGTTCCAACATATAAATTTGGGGAGGACACAAACGTTCAATTCATTGCAGTTATATAATTCTACACTATACAAAATGTTTGCACATCCACTGCTATGTAGATTTCCCATTAGGGAGTTGAGACCAAGAGTTGTCTATCTTAAGGCTTTGACTTACTGCCCAGGGTGGACCTTTCCCAGCTATGTACTCCTCCTCAGTGTATGGCAACTCTGCCCTCCAAAGGCACTTCTACCTGCAATAAATAAATAAACCATATATATATTTATTTATATATATATTTTTATATATATTTATATATATATATATTTATATATATATATATTTATTTATATATATATATATATTTATATATATATTCAGGGCTAAGACTCTAGCTCTTTGAAATATTTTCCAAACTGCTAAGAGGGATCACCTAAACTCATAGGTGGCCCTCTAAATCTGAAAGATTTTGTCAGGGAAACAAAACCTAATTAAGCTTCCACCTCACACTAGTTAGCTTGGGCTACCATAACAAAATACCATACGCTAAGTAAATTAAACAACAGAAATTTATTTCTGACAGTTCTAGAGGCTGGGAAGTCCAAGAGGTACTGGCCAATTTGGTTCCTGGCTTGCAGACAGCTGCCTTCTCCCTGTGTCCTCAAATAGTACCAAGAGTGAGAGTGAGAAAGTGGGGGTGGGGGGGGAAGATAGAGAAAGAGAGAGAGAGGGAGAGAGAGGTGGAGAGAAAGGAGAAAGAGAGACTTGAGTGAGCAAGAATGAGTTTCTGGTGTCTTATCTTATATAATGGCAATAATCCTAACAGGTTTAGGGCCCTACACTTATGACCTCATTTAACCTTAATTACCTACCAGAAGTTCTATTTCCAAATACAGTTACAGTGGGGATTAGAGTTTTAACAATTGAGTTTTGAGAGGACACAGTTCAGTCCATAGCATATCTTCCATGCTTATTTTCATCTGAGCAGGAGTCCTAACAGCTTCATGCTCCAGCAGCCAGGTAGAGGTAGATGGCAACGATTTCAGATATTCTTTGGGATGATGAACTACTTGCTTCAAGAGAAAAAACGCAAAATGGATGAAGGAATTCAGTGGGGACCAGTAGGATTGAGTTGTTGGTTTTGTTTCATTTTGTTTTTTTCTTAAGCCAGGATAAATGTTAATCATCACAGCCACTGAAGCAGGAGATTACAAGGGGTAGGGGTGAGTTGCTACTTGACTTGAATGTCCTAATTTCTGCATACGGGTACTTAAAAATGTTGTTCTGAAGCTCTCCCTGTTGATGCCATCTCATGCTGCTCATTTGATGGCACAGAATTCAAGACAACTAGAAATCAGTGCTCTTCATCAATGCCTTCATGCTTCACTGAGGAACCTTAAGTGGTTAGGAAAAAAAAACTCATGAATAAAGAAGTGTTCTTAACTTGAAGAATATGCATCAAAGGATTCATCTGGGTGGATTTTTTTAAGTCAATATTGTATTTACAGGCAATATTTCTTTCTTTACTGCTCTGCCTTCCTGGAGCTGACCTTTTGTGTATGAAAGATTGTCTATTGATCTGTAAATAAGGTTTACACAATATTTTCTTGCCTTTGCATCCTGTTAAAGTAATTCTCAGGCAGCTGGATGTTTCTCTTTGCTGCTCAATAAACCATAATTCCATTTTAGCAAACCTTTCACACAGTGCTGTAAGCCCCACCCCCATGCCCCACTGACAACCATCTTCCACTCAGATGTGGGCCTGTTAGACCTCCTTATGATGCCTGTTAATGGCTGCCATGACATGTGCTTTCTTCAGGTGGGAACAATTCCAGGAGATTCTTCACTGGGACTCCCCTCAGCAATCCAGGCTGTTTCTTTCCCAACCCTCAGCTAAGTCCCTCTCTCTCTTTTCTGTGTTTGTCCCTTAAATTTAATTTGGTAGGAGTATTAAAAGTAGCTTTTCTGGTTATAAAAGCTGAACTGCTTTTGGAGGTAGCACGGCAAGGGGACAGAGGGTAGGGAGTCAAGAGGCAGCTCAGAGTAGCAAGGAAGCACAAAGAATCCAGTGGCACCTGTCTGGGCACAGGTCTCAGCTGCTTCCCTTATTTGCTGCATAAGCTTGTATAATCGGCTTAACTTTGCTTTCTGAAAAGTAGGAACCTTAACATTGCCTGCATCACCGAGTTGTGTTCATCGAGTTAAAACAAATGTTTAGACAAATGATCGACATTTAGAAAATTCAAGGATACCCAGGAATTGAACTCAGCTCTGCACCAAGCGGACCTAATAGACATCTACAGAACTCTCCACCCCAAATCAACAGAATATATATTTTTTTCAGCACCACACCACACCTATTCCAAAACTGACCACATACTTGGAAGTCAAGCTCTCCTCAACAAATGTAAAAGAACAGAAATTATAACAAACTATCTCTCAGACCACATTGCAATCAAACTAGAACTCAGGATTAAGAATCTCACTCAAAACCACTCAACTACATGGAAACTGAACAACCTGCTCCTGAATGACTAGTGGGTACATAATGAAATGAAGGCAGAAATAAATATGTTCTTTGAAACCAACGAGAACAAAGACACAACATACCAGAATCTGTGGGACGCATTCAAAGCAGTGTGTAGAGGGAAATTTATAGCACTAAATGCCCACAAGAGAAAGCAGGAAAGATCCAAAATTGACACCCTAACATCAAAATTAAAAGAACTAGAAAAGCAAGAGCAAACACATTCAAAAGCTAGCAGAAGGCAAGAAATAACTAAAATCAGAGCAGAACTGAAGGAAATAGAGACACAAAAAACCCTTCAAAAAATTAATGAATCCAGGAGCTGGTTTTTTGAAAGGATCAACAAAATTGATAGACCACTAGCAAGACTAATAAAGAAGAAAAGAGAGAAGAATCCAATAGATGCAATAAAAAATGATAAAGGGGATATCACCACCGATCCCACAGAAATACAAACTACCATGAGAGAATACTACAAACACCTCTACGCAAATAAACTAGAAAATCTAGAAGAAATGGATAAATTCCTTGACACATACATTCTTCCAAGACTAAACCAGGAAGAAGTTGAATCTCTGAATAGACCAATAACAGGATCTGAAATTGTGGCAATAATCAATAGCTTACCAACCAAAAAGAGTCCAGGACCAGATGGATTCACAGCCGAATTCTACCAGAGGTACAAGGAGGAACTGGTACCATTCCTTCTGAAACTATTCCAATCAATAGAAAAAGAAGGAATCCTCCCTAACTCATTTTATGAGGCCAGCATCATTCTGATACCAAAGCCGGGCAGAGACACAACAAAAAAAGAGAATTTTAGACCAATATCCCTGATGAACATTGATGCAAAAATCTTCAATAAAATACTGGCAAACTGAATCCAGCAACACATCAAAAAGCTTATCCACCATGATCAAGTGGGCTTCATCCCTGGGATGCAAGGCTGGTTCAATATACACAAATCAATAAATGTAATCCAGCATATAAACAGAGCCAAAGACAAAAACCACATGATTATCTCAATAGATGCAGAAAAAGCCTTTGACAAAATTCAACAACCCTTCATGCTAAAAACTCTCAATAAATTAGGTATTGATGGGACGTATTTCAAAATAATAAGAGCTATCTATGACAAACCCACAGCCAATATCATACTGAATGGGCAAAAACTGGAAGCATTCCCTTTGAAAACTGGCACAAGACAGGGATGCCCTCTCTCACCGGTCCTATTCAACATAGTGTTGGAAGTTCTGGCCAGGGCAATTAAGCAGGAGAAGGAAATAAAGGGTATTCAATTAGGAAAAGAGGAAGTCAAATTGTCCCTGTTTGCAGACGACATGATTGTATATCTAGAAAACCCCATTGTCTCAGGCCAAAATCTCCTTAAGCTGATAAGCAACTTCAGCAAAGTCTCAGGATACAAAATCAACGTACAAAAATCACAAGCATTCTTATACACCAGCAACAGACAAACAGAGAGCCAAATCATGAGTGAACTCCCATTCACAATTGCTTCAAAGAGAATAAAATACCTAGGAATCCAACTTACAAGGGACGTGAAGGACCTCTTCAAGGAGAACTACAAACCACTGCTCAAGGAAATAAAAGAGGATACAAACAAATGGAAGAACATTCCATGCTCATGGGCAGGAAGAATCAATATCGTGAAAATGGCCATACTGCCCAAGGTAATTTACAGATTCAATGCCATCCCCATCAAGCTACCAATGCCTTTCTTCACAGAATTGGAAAAAACTACTTTAAAGTTCATATGGAACCAAAAAAGAGCCCGCATCACCAAGTCAATCCTAAGCCAAAAGAACAAAGCTGGAGGCATCACACTACCTGACTTCAAACTATACTACAAGGCTACAGTAACCAAAACGGCATGGTACTCGTACCAAAACAGAGATATAGATCAATGGAACAGAACAGAGCCCTCAGAAATAACGCTGCATATCTACAACTATCTGATCTTTGACAAGCCTGAGAAAAACAAGCAATGGGGAAAGGATTCCCTATTTAATAAATGGTGCTGGGAAAACTGGCTAGCCATATGTAGAAAGCTGAAACTGGATCCCTTCCTTACACCTTATACAAAAATCAATTCAAGATGGATTAAAGACTTAAACGTTAGACCTAAAACCATAAAAACCCTAGAAGAAAACTTGGCATTACCATTCAGGACATAGGCATGGGCAAGGACTTCATGTCTAAAACACCAAAAGCAATGGCAACAAAAGCCAAAATTGACAAATGGGATCTAATTAAAGTAAGGAGCTTCTGCACAGCAAAAGAAACTACCATCAGAGGGAACAGGCAACCTACAAAGTGGGAGAAAATTTTCGCAACCTACTTATCTGACAAAGGGCTAGTATCCAGAATCTACAATGAACTCAAACAAATTTACAAGAAAAAAACAAACAACCCCATCAAAAAGTGGGCGAAGGACATGAACAGACACTTCTCAAAAGAAGACATTTATGCAGCCAAAAAACACATGAAAAAATGCTCATCATCACTGGCCATCAGAGAAATGCAAATCAAAACCACAATGAGATACCATCTCACACCAGTTAGAATGGCAATCATTAAAAAGTCAGGAAACAACAGGTGCTGGAGAGGATGTGGAGAAATAGGAACACTTTTACACTGTTGGTGGGACTGTAAACTAGTTCAACCATTGTGGAAGTCAGTGTGGCGATTCCTCAGGGATCTAGAACTGGAAATACCATTTGACCCAGCCATCCCATTACTGGGTATATACCCAAGGGACTATAAATCATGCTGCTATTAAGACACATGCACACGTATGTTTATTGCGGCATTATTCACAATAGCAAAGACTTGGAACAAACCCAAATGTCCAACAATGATAGACTGGATTAAGAAAATGTGGCACATATACACCATGGAATGCTATGCAGCCATAAAAAATGATGAGTTCATGTCCTTTGTAGGGACATGTATGAAATTGGAAACCATCATTCTCAGTAAACTATCGCAAGAACAAAAAACCAAACACCGCATATTCTCACTCATAGGTGGGAATTGAACAATGAGATCACATGGACACAGGAAGGGGAATATCACACTCTGGGGACTGTTGTGGGGTGGGGGAGGGGGGAGGGATAGCATTGGGAGATATACCTAATGCTAGATGACGAGTTAGTGGGTGCAGTGCACCAGCATGGCACATGTATACATATGTAACTAACCTGCACAATGTGCACATGTACCCTAAAACTTAAAGTATAATAAAAATAAAAAATAAAAAAAATTTAAAAAAAAGAAAATTCAAAACAAATGTTATCCATTCTTATTAAATTCCTGACCCTGCCATTTACTAGTTAAGGGTGCCCATGCAAGAGACTTCATCTCTTTGTACCTCAGCTCTCTCCTCTGCTTAAAAAAAAGGAAAAGATAAAATTATAATAATTCCTACATTTTAAGACCAGTGTAGGATTAAATGAGATACTGATTGTAAAGCTTCTGGTATATTATCCATTCACAATAAATGTTTCTGATTTGATGATGATCATGATGATGGTGGTGACAGTAGTGATGGGGTCTCTTTTCCTTTCCGTTATTCCTAATGTTTTGAAGGCCTCTGTAACTGCTTCTTTAGGACATCTACTACTCAGCATTCTATCATGGAAATACATCATTCATGTTTCTCAAAAGACAAAAGGAGCCTTCTTACAGAACCCCTGACATATCCAAAAAAGTCCTTCCAACAAGCAAAACTACATTATCCTGCACAATTCTAAAAGTTCTCAACCCTGCCTTTTATGTTTATTTTCAACACTAGTGGTCCACAAGCTCCCTTGCCATCCCTATTCAAAATAATTCCAGTTTTTTACACAAACAGCTGGTTGAATAATGCTTCCCATTTTTATGTTTATTTATAATTTAACACTTATCATCCTTTGTTGCATTTGAACCTCAACAATCCACACAGTAGGAGGGACACACAGCCATTTTACAGGAGATGTAAGCTGACTTGTCTATAGTACTTGGTTATAGGGCTCTTCTGACAGGAGGATGCAATGTCCCTACACAATGAATCATTCTTATACTTTTCGTGCTTAGCTATGTTTACTTCTCTATGATGGTGGGAAAAGAGCCATACTTGGGCTCATTTTTAGAAGTTATGGTAGCCATGTGCATGGTGGAAAGGCCTGGTGGCTCCCCATTTCTCCTCCATCCTTTTTGAAGTGAATTGGCCAATCAGTAAGAACTCATTCACTCAGCCAATCATTCAACAATCAATTACTGAGGTCATAGTACACTCCAGGCTTTGTTGTAGCTATTAGTCTCTCCAACTAAAATGTAAGCTCTATAAGGGCAGAGGCTTCATTTGTCCTGTCAAACAATGTTGGATAATGTCAGGTGGTGATGGTGCTATGAAGAAAAATAAAGTAGTAAAAGTAGAGAGTCGTGCTTTAGAAAGCGTGGTTGAGAAAGGATGGAAGGGATGGCTTGTGTGAGATATAGGAGATATCGATGGACAGCTCTCACTTCAAGGAGCTCAGTCCTTTGGGGAGAAAAGTCTATCAAACGTTAACCCCTGGAAATAGCAATACCTCTGTAGAGCTGTGTGGCACTGATCCTGAGTGAGAAGACTGACCCTGTGCCTCAGGCCAGACTAGTCAGGGAAAGCTTGTTGTGGGCTTCTTGGAGGTAACATAGCTGGAACTTGAGTGATAAATATGATTTGGAGAGACATAAAAGAAGAATAAATTTCCTGGGAAAGAAAGAAGTGAGTACTGTAAATGAATAGAATGAAATAACCACGGAAATGATAAAGGATGTAAAGAAACTGAGTCCCAACTAAAAAGAAGGTGTGTACTGAGAAAGAGTATGACTAGATTTGGATGGATAGGGTTGGGTAAGATTGGGAGAAAAATTAAGGCAGAGAAGTTTAAGCCTAACGCAGTAGGAAAAAATAAGTTATAACATATTCTTGAGCAGCAGAGTGACATAATGAGAATGACTTGGACTGTAAGTTGACCAGTAGCAGGGTACAGACTATACAATAGGGAAACCTGTTAAGGGTCATGTATTAGTCAGGATTTTTTAGAGGGACATAACTAATAGGTTAGATGTATACATAAAGGGGAGTTTATTTAGTAGTATTAACTCACACAATCACAAGGTCCCACAACAGGCCATCTGCAAGCTGAGGAGCAAGGAAGCCAGTCTGAGTCCCAAATCTGAAGAACTTGGAGTCTAATGTTCAAGGACAGGAAGTATCCAGCCTGAGAGAAAGATGTAGGCTGAGAGGCTAAGCCAGTCTAATCTTTTCACGTTTTTTCTGCCTGCTTTATAGTCTGGCCATGCTGGCAGCTGATTAGATGGTACCCACTCAGATTAAGGGTGGGTCTGCCTTTCCCAGCCCACTGACTCAAATGTTCATCTCCTTTGGTAACACCCTTTCAAACACACCCAAGATCAGTACTTTGCATCCTTCAATCCATTCAAGTTGGCACTCAATATTAACCATCACAGGGCAGTTGCCATAATCCAGGGATACAGTAATGGTGGTGCTTAGAGGGATAGAAAGGCATGGTTCAATAGGGACACATTTCTAAAACAGAATCACTGGAATATGTTTCATCTCTGGGTCAGACATCCATCTAAGTGGTTGCAGTGATTTGTTTTTTTGCACACTCACTTTCAGTAACCCCTAAAACCCTCTCTTCCCCCAGTACCTCCTCCTAAGCACTTCCCACACAGAGTCATCTTGCAGATATCACTCATCGAGAATCCAGACATCTTATGCAGGACTATCATTATAGTGAAGAAATTATTAGCCATCTCCTGGCTGTCAGTGTTGCAAGGATCTAAGGATGTTGCCATGACTACAAGGATGTTTGGGCACAATCGAGATTTACAATTGCTTTTTTTATCAGTAATCTGCCTGGCAGAGCCAACTTTGCCTACCATCTTCAAATCTAGGAAAATGTGGCCAGCTTTTCCTTCCAGAACACTGATGTTGAAGGTGAGATTTCAGCCCAAGCCGGTCATCTCCAGGGAGGCAAGGACCACCTCTTGATTGTAAAGGTGGTGACATTTTCATGCTGCTTACCTTTCCTCCCTGTTCTCCCCTAACCTGTTCAGTATGCGTTCTCCTGAAAGAAGCCCAAGTCCTTCCCATCAGCAAAGAGATCACTTGATCCATCAATTTATATCAACATATTCAGACTCTGATATTCTCCTTTCAAGGAGAATTTGCATTTTTGAAAGAGGAACCTGAAAAAGGTAATGCTAAACTCAAGAGTTGGTAGTGATGGACTCCATGACGGGGGATTTCTAAGAGGGAGAGAAAATTTCTACAGGACCCACTCAAATAGCACATAGGTGACCATCTACTCTACCCATTTGCAGATTCGGTGCAATTTTATTTTCATAGGATATGCCTTCTTACAAGGTAGTTGTATCCTTACCTCATTAATTTTGAAATAAGACCTGTCTGTCTTTCATCACCAGAAATCAGATATAAGGACAAGTCTAGAGAGGACTGGGTGAAAAGCAAGTCTCAGATTAGCCTAGTAAAGCTTAGCTCTGATTTTTTTCTTATTGCTATATCATCCTCATCAGACACTCCCATCAGCCAGTGATGTACTAATCTCTTCAGGTCTCAGTTTCTTCATCTGCAAACTGAAAATAACAAAATATGCTTCAAGAGGCTAGTCAAATGAGGAAAATAGAAAATCCTCTAAGATCTACTCTAGCCCTGAAGTGCTTGGTTTCTGAACTGTGATCTTCATGAATCTGGGGCTCCCAGTGTCACTGCCTGTCCTGAGTTCATCATATTCAGGCCCCACACGAGGGGCCCTGTATGGAAAGAGGAAGTGATTCTGCAAGATAAGAACATTTGGCATCTTGCAGACCACTTCACTTCCCAGCTCCTCTTCCCCAGGATTCAAATGCTGAGATCTTGCAGAAGCAGTGAGAAGCTTAAATCAGCTGTAAATTACTCATAAATTAAGCACAGCTAAAGTGCAGCTCCTAGAGCTAAAGGACAGTCATAGATGTATTCCTGCCACCCCAGTCCCTGACAAATGAGAACAACCACCTCAGCAGAGCCTGAGAGGCACTGGATGTGGAAATGATATTTAAGAGGCAGAAAGCACCCAGCAGCCATTAGAGCTGGCCTGGGAAGGAGAAATCCTTGGCAGGGCCTGCCTGGGGCACAGACAGAATGACAGTGTGGACAGTGGAAACTGAAGAGACATTAGGCAAATACCCCACCTCCATGGAAAATAAACTGTTGCCTCTTATTCCACTACTAAAGCCTCATATTGGGAGGTTTAAAAGGTATCTTTGTCCTTAGAGACCCTTTTAGATTTGCAATTATCCCTGGGACAGGCCACACATTGAGAGCTACCCATCTCCATGGGGATGGGCCAGAGGAGGCAGGGCAGGGCAGTGGGCAGCAAGGGTAGTCAGGACATGGAGAGAAGGGAGAGTGTCACTCAAGTGACAGATTCTGCACTACTCCAAGGGGTGGGGGTGGGGGACCAGGTTTTCTCCATCACTATATCCCCAGTGCAGGGAGGGAGGATTATTCATTTTTTCTTTTATAGAAACCTGGCTGTGATCCAGATGCTTGCACCTGGTCCTCGCCCCACTCTGAAATACTTGCTGAGAGAGACCCACTTTTTCCCTGCTTCCATCTATTTGTTCATCTCTTCTACTTTATCTTTCATAACGTGTATTCTTAGGCGATAAGATCCTGGTACAGGAATATTCTAGCTGAATTGTCCCAGCTGCCCCCAAACTCTTGATTTATCCTTCTGGGAAGGACGTTGTCTTCCCCAAGGGCAAGTCTGCAGGAGGAATGCATCCAGGGACTCACAAGTCAGCCAGATCAGGACGGGGAAACCACAAAGTAGCTGGAGATTTCCCCACTAGATTCCACTGACATCCAATCCAGAGCAAGGGCTGTGTCCAGTTTATCTCTAGGTCCCCACAGAATACAGGGTCTGCACACAGTGGCCCTTCATGAGAATGTGGGCCGGAGTGGTTGGAACCTTTTTGTTTGGGTAGAGAGGGGAGCAGCTGCTGTTTTTAGAGAAATATCTTGGGGCATCACAGAGTGTGAACACTGAAGTGAAAAATGCTCCACAAAAGAATATTTTCATCTTCAACAGACATCGCAAAAATGTTCTGCTGTGGTTTAATCACGAGCTCACCCACAGAAAACAATCCACAAATAACATCTAGTTCAAGAGGCAGTGAGCTTTTCCCTCACCCATTTGGAATTCAAAGATAGCAGTGCTAAGAAGAGAAAGCCTGGCATGCTTGAAGGACTTGCAAGGGAAGCAGCTAGGCAACCTCCCTCACAATGATCATCCATCATGGTCTCTCTGGACAATGACCAAACCACAGGAGCCACATAGACACAGATTCACTTAGCAAGACATCAGGGATAAGCTCTTTTCTTTACAGGAGATCCAAAGACCCAGGTTCCAGCCCTGGCCCTGCCTGTGAGAACTTGTAAGCAAGTAACAGGGCCTCCCGGGGTGATATGGTCTGGCTCTGTGTCCCCACCCAAATATCATCCTGATTTGTAATCCAAATTGTAATCCCCACATGTTGGGGAGGGACTTCATGGGAGGTAGTTGAATCATGGGGGCTGCTACCCCCATGCTGTTCTTCTGACAATCAGCGAGTTCTCACAATATCTGATGGTATTATAACGGGCTTTTCCCCTTTGCTCGGCACTTCTTCTTGCTGCCACCATGTGAAGAAGGCATGTTTGCTCCCCCTTTCTCCATGACTATAAATTTCCTGAGGCCTCCCCAGCCCTGAGGAACTGCGTGTCAATTAAACCTCTCTCTTTTATAAGTTACCCAATCTCAGGCATTTCTTCATAGCAGCATGAGAAGGGACTAATACACTGGGCCTCAAGGAAAATGGAGAAAAAAATAGCTGCCTCATTTCTTAACAAAAGGTTATTGTAAAGAGAGAAGAGGAAGGAAGGGGCAAGATGAAACTGGGTGTGGGAACATTTTGAAAGTTAAAAGCAATGAAGAAATGCAAGCACTGGTAGTTGTATTAAGGTATTGCTGGGTGATACGGGCATGAGTAACAGAAATCATAATGCAGAAAGCTCTTTTACTTTGTATTAATTAACTAGTCTTACAAAAGACCTGTAAAATATTTACTGGTGGATCCATTTTACAGACCAGAAGCTTGAGGTTCAGAAATGCTAACTGAATTCCCCAAACTTACAAAATGGGATTATGAAATTATACTGGGGAAGAAGGCCCAGGGACACTGAGCTTACTGAGCATCTACTAGATGGCAGATTCTGAACTAAGCATTCTGTTCACCCAAGTTACCTTCCAATCTTCTAAAACAGTGAGGTATGCATTTTTCCCAATCTACAGATGAGGTCTTTGAAACTCAGAGATTACATAGTTGATATAATTAAGAACTGAAGCCAGGAATGTCAGACTCCAACCCAGTTCATCCTGCATTCCAACACAGCACAGCTAGAGAGATTTAGAATGTGGATGAAGCCAACATCAATGTGCCCAGTGCTCAGAACACAATATTGACACCTTATTAATACGTTTGCCACTTGGAATTTGTGATCATCTTCTTGGGCTAAGTTGAAGTGTACCTAAGAAATAGCTTTCTAAATAATTAATATTAGAAATGAGTTGTGGGAAGGGTGTGCAAACTGTTTAAAATATTAACTCTTTTGCAACTCCCTTATGTAATTTAAAAGTAATTGCTTGCCACAAATTGGTAGTTTAATTCAAGTTATTCTAACATCAGCATCCAAGAAGGTCTCAAAAGTTTGCTGCTTGGCAACTCTGTTAGCTGCGAATCTCACCTAGAGATATCTTTAGGTTTTAAAAGTTCTTATACAGCCAATGCAGTATGATGGAAGCAACATCACCAAGAGGCAGGGGAGCCAGAGTGCCTGGGTTCAGGTTCCATCTGTTCTACTTTCTATCAGACAAGCTACAATAATTTGAACTCTCTAAGCCTCAGTTTTCTTATCTATAAAATAGAGTTTATAATAGTACCTCCTTCATAGGGTTATGGGCAGCGTTAAATGACTTTAATACAGGCAAGGCATTTACAATGGTGTCTAGCTTATGGCAATGAAATAGGTGAGTATTAACCATTATTATTTCTGGCTCAGATCTAGAAATTTTGAGCAGGTCAGTTACTCTCTGTAAGCCTTGCCTCTCTTATCAGTAAAATGGTAATCATAATTATGTTTACCTTAGAAGGCTATTGTAAAGTCAAATGAGATCATATGAAATACCTTTGTCAGGTATGTGCTACACAAATAATAAGGCTAGTTTATTTTCAAGTCTTTTTTTCTTAGAAGAAAAATCTGGGTCAGACTTGTGACCTCTGTAACCAGTTCCTAGGACTGCAGTTCCTTTTCAGTTAGCAGTGTTCTGGTCTACTGCCACTTTAGCCAGCCTCTCACTCAGCTCAAATTCAGACACTGGTCACTGTGTTCCCCAAGCTAGAGGGAGCAGCTATGAAACTTTCCACATGGTCTTTCTAAAGTCCCTCTTTCAACCTAAGTGAAGCAGCAAGCAGCCCCCACCCTTTCCATGGTACAGGAATAGGAAGGGAAAAATCTACAGCTTTCTCCAGAAACCCTTCTCACAAAGTCTTTCCCCGAATTTAACTCTCCACACTACTTTCATGCCCAATGTGCATGAGAGGTTAAGAATTGTGTAACTGGTTTCCAGAAACCTGGAATGTAACATTTCTTCTACCACTGTGTCTCAGGGAAAACTCCAACTATGACATTGGCTACACTGAGCTCTGCCTTAGCCACGGAGGTATCCGATAGCTTGCTCCAAGTTAAAAGCACAAACATCAATAGTGACAACTACACAGTAGCCCATCACAAACTTATTTATTTTTTTACATTCAAGTCAGGCCTATTTTCTCAAAGATTTCTCCTAAGTTTACTTCCCTTTTGACTTAGTTTGCCGTGATTCTTTTTACCCTAATCTGGTTATATGTAGAAGTTAATTGTCGGACTAGGGGTAGGAAACTGACCTTGAGACTGATATCATTTACAACCCTAGCGTAGTTACACAGAGTCCCTTGCTTTACCTCCCCTAGTTATAATCTAAGAGATCCATCCTAAAATGTGCAAACTTGGTGGTGGAGAGTAAACCAAAATTCACTGGACATAGTCTGCCCTTTCACCAATACAGTTCTGATTTTGTGTATTGTGAACTTTCTGATGTACATCACGGTAGAAGAATGGAGTGTGCTGACTGATGGAATACTCCTCCTAAGACAGAGTTTACCAACCATGTCCTAATAGTAATAGTCTTTTTGAAGAATTAGTCTACAGTAAAAGAAGGTGACATAAATGCTTTAGCTTTTAGCAGAGCTTCCAAGGTTGAACTAGGAAACACCAAACTCAGGATATACTATACAATGATGTGGGAGTCCAAAGTCAGTATGTTTGGGAAAGCCAGCCGACTATTTCCTTCTCTTGGAAACTTATAATGAATAATGTCATGGTAAAGGCTCTGAGAATCCTGCAGGAAACAAGCTGCTTAATTAACCTTATTAACCCAGCATTCCCTAAACGTATTTGACCATTGTAACATTTCATTCACAAACAAAGTATTTGTATTTCTGGAAATACCGTTTCTAGAGAAATGCTCAGTTTCTAAGTTGGAAGGCATCTTAGAGGTTACGGAGTCTAAGGCCCTCTTCAGGAATAAAACCCTCCATACAGTTACTTGGACATAGTAATTCTATGGTTGCAGAGATAAGGAACCACATGCTTAGCAGCACAATCCATTTCTTCTTGGGCAACTCTCATAATGAATTAGAATCTGTCTTTAAGGTAAGACAACAATAAGCACCCAAATTTTACATTAAGAAAAATCTAAATTCAACCTCTAGCTGTGCTTCTCCTTATGTGGCTTTGAGAAAGCTACTGGACTTCTCTCAGCTGAGCATCCTCAACTCTAATATGAGGATGGTAAGGGTACCTGTCTCCAAGGTAGTGGAGAGGAATACATTAAATAATCGATAGTAAGTGCTTGGTGCGGTACCTGGTACATAGGAAGTGTTCAATAAATGTTGACCATTATTATTATGAATCCTGTATCTACTTTCCAGAACAGAATAGCACATATCTATTACCATTTCCACCTGGCAGCTCTTCAGAATCACACAGGCTTCTTTTCCCAAGCAAAGTATCCTATGCACTGGATGGTATGATCTTGATTCCTCACCCCATCAGCGAACAAACACACAAACAAACAAAGCATATGTTTCCGAATAAGTTTATTGATAAAGTAGATACACATATGACTGCAGTCTTGTGTGCATTACCACACATACACAAAAATAATATTTTAAAGAATGAAATCAAGATGAATAATATGCTTCGATATTTGCATCTTCTCTTATTATGTACCATTTCACATAGCACAAAATCCTGTTTTGCTCTCACTAAATATAATAACAATATTTTGAGAAAGCATTTTCATGGAATATGCTTTTTTTTTAATCCTTAGTTTAAGAGGTCATTGTAATATTAGATTTTAATGGCTGTCAAAGTTGAGAACAAAACTTCACTAAAATAGGTAGATCCAATGGAAGAACAGCTCCATACCTATAGTCGCTGAGTCATCATACTTAGTGTTTATACCCCTTTTATGCAAATACTGTTGTAAAATTCAGCTAGTATATTTTTTTCCCTAACGTCAGTCAAATGTTCTGGCTGACATCAGGGAAAAAATACACCAGCTGAATTTTACTAGTACCTGGAAACTACCTGGAATATGTTGAATTTTTTATACTTTTAATGAAAGCATTCAAAACTCCACGAGAAACAAACTGGTTAGAAAATTGCATTTCCTTATGTTTAAAACATATACTATGAGAGTTTTCATATATAATGACATACATCACTTTCAGCAATAAATTAACAATTTCCATACATGTTTCCCAATGCTTTATCCATAGCACAGATTTTTTTTTCAAATCCTGTTGCCTTCCTCCTCATTAATATACCACCTTTCACTTAAAAAGACAAATCAAGTATGTCTAATTAGAAAATATCTGCTTTGTACCATTATTTCTGACAGCCATTTGTCAAAGAAAAACTCAACAAATTTGGATCACTTGTCTTTTTGAAAAAAAAATGTATAAGTCATCTTTAATTTATCAACTCTAGGTAGTAGTTTTCCTTGACTTCAACAAACCTCTAAGTGATAGTATGATCCTGATCAGAAAACCCAGGAGCCAGAGGCTAAACAGAGTCAGACAGGTAAAAAGGTAAAAAGGTTGATCCAGGCAGGTTTATCAGAAGGAAGCAGAAGGCAATTAGAGAACGAGGGCAGGAGGAATCTGGGAAAGTCCACTGTGACTTCCAATGTTCTCAGCAGAGCTCAAGGAGCCTCAGGTAGAAGGTAACAGACCAGCCTACTGAAGTGTCATATAAGTCCCACAGGGACTCAGGCAAGGAAACAGCATTTGAGCACCCAAGAGAACTAGGGAGATGTAAGACATGACCCAGGTCCTAGTGGATCAAGGAAATCAGAATCTCAGATATGGCAACTGGAATACAAGGCTGGAGCATGACCACAGCAGTAACAATTCCTGGTCACGGGGCTAAGTTGTCCTAAAAGGTAAATCTTATTTCCCTGTGTAAAATATAAGAGATCTGAGCCCTGGAGACTCCAACTAACCCCTAAGGCTACACATCTTAAAAAATGATAAGGCCAGGAGGACTTGAAACCAGACCATCTGGCACCAGAGCTCTTACCTTTGAAGCTATGCTACATGCCCTGCTCAAAAACAGAGGCTGATTGCAAATCTAGGATGCTAGGTCCGAACAGAATCTGCAGCCAAGCCGATAGGACTGACCTCTCCTCTAGGAAATGTTACCCTTGAGCTCCTTAAATTTCCCCTGATTACTAAGGAGTTTGGTTTCCATGGAGACTGAGACAAAGAGTTCCAGTTAAATATGAGAGTTAAATACTTCTAGTTTTGAAAATGTGAGATCGAAAAGGCAAGAAACCAGGCTTTCCTACTGTCTCACATAATTTCTTACACAAAATCATTTTACAGAGAGAAACTGAGACTCTGAAAAGGTAAGTGAACTGTTTGGTGTTATCCAGAAGCTAGAGAGACCACTGGAACCCAGGGTCTCTAAACCTTAAGTTGAAGACCTTTTTCATACGCCTTCTTACATGCTCTGCCATCTAACTCCACGATTCTGTGATACTATACCTAGCGCAATGTTTATTTAATGATTCAGAAAGCATATGTTAGCATCTTTTATCATGTTGTATATAGATATACAAACTCCCAGTTAAGAAGGATCTGTAATTAATAGAAATATCAATATTAGCAAGCCTCATAAAGTAGCGAGTCTTTTCATATACAGTTGATCCTCATTATTTGCAGATTCTGTATGTGCTAATTAATCTACTTGCTAAAATGTATTTGCAATCCAAAATCAGTACGTGAAACACTTTTGCATTATTCCTAGACATGTGCTTTTGCAGAAAGACAAAAATTTGAGTGTCTTGACATGGGTTCCCAACTGAGGTTGAATGACTCTGCATTCTGCCACCTCGTTTCAGCTGTCATGCTGAAAATCAAGTGTCCTTTGCATGGTCTATCTAGGGCCTTTTATCCCCATATTTGTGCTTTTTCTTGGTGATGTCATGGTTTAAAATGGCCAAAAATATATGTGTAAGATAAGCTTCCTTCAGACATGAGTTATATACTCCAGAACATGAGTTGTGTTAATGAATCAACAAGAAATATTAAATAAGGTGTCTTTAAATAGAAACATATATAAAACATGGTTGTATATTGATCAAGCCATGACAAAAATGTTGCCACCAAAGGCTTATAGGAATCTAACCCTGAATTTCCCATGGGGCCAGTGATTCACTAATTCCATGTTTGAGGTGACTTTTAGAACATACTGCTGTGGATAATGAGAATCAACTGTATATAGTTAAGCTCAGCCCACTCTTCCTAGTCTTATCCATCATTGCCCTAACTTCTCTCAGAATGGTCAGGAGGAAGGAGTCAACTTCAACTTTATGCAAGAGACTTTAAAAATGTAATTAAAAATGTAAAAGAGTAAAAGAATCAAATGGCTTAAAAGGAAACAAATCCTATATCATAGGAAACCAATTAGTAGGTAGAGAAAAGAGTTCAACTTCAAACCCTCAGCCTTGGTTACTAGGAAATGCGCTTTGGCTAAAAGGATAAACTGGACACACAACTGGCAGCATCCTCTCTCTTAATCAAATTTGCCTAAAGCATCTCAATGATCTACTCAAGCCATAGCATGAACTCTGTGGCTGCCTTAAGTCCTAGACTAAGAGAGAGCTGTTTCACACAGTCTCAGAATCGATCATTCCATGCCATGGTAGATTTGGTGTGGAACAGAGGTAAAAAAAAATGTTTTCCTTGTTGACATATGTGATAAAAAGGGATGTCTTGTCCTTCCTGGCTTAATTTTCTCACTCCAGTAGGTTAAGTATTCACCTCCACAGTTGGTTCTCAACCACCATCACTTTGGTCTGATTACTTCTGTGAATTCCTGAGATGATGGGCTGGTGAAAACATGGGCCAGCTCTGCTCAGGGAACCCTCAAGTCTTCTTGCTTCCCCTTGCAGCCCCATAAAGTGGCTTCTAATGCTTGCCCATAAGTGGGGAATTAACACCATGCTTCTTCTTTACCATGTTTCTTTAACTAGCTTTAAAGTTTCTGGAATCCTGCCTCCTCCCTGCCTTTTAATTTCATTTTTGTCTGCTTCCCATCCTTTCATCCACCTCGTGTGGTCCGGATATACACACTTGCTACTCTTAGTTTAGGCCAGAAGGCTCTGTAGTTTCTAAGATACTTGACTTTTTTCCTCTTCCTATAAGCACTTCTTCTTGGCTACTCCAGCCCATATTGTTCCTCCAGCCCCTTCCCTGAACTCATAAAGCATTCACAATCAGTAGCATACAGTTTTCCACCAGACCATTCTGAGTGTTTCACCTGTGCTAGTCTTAACTCACTCCCAAACTCCCTGAAACCGGCACACTGTGTCTGCCTTCCTCCTTGGATAAAACAGAGATTTTATTGGAAGGATGGCACATAGACCAGTGCAACACAAGCAAACACAGACCCTGTTAACTCAAGAAAAAATAAGAGCCCATCAACACTACTGAAGCTTAATAAAAGCATTAATGATGTTTAGGACAATGAGCCTTAGAGCCTCAGGGTCACCTGTTTATGAAAGGCAAGCATATTATCCTATGGCAGAATAGGTAAGAATGGTTCCCAGCAATTACAGGACCCCGCTAAGTTTATCCTGATTGGAGAGAAGCTCACTTTCACTTTACAACCTGAAGATTAAGGACAATCAGGCATGAAAGATGCTAACATCAACTTAGAATGTAAAACTGGCTGTAGAGAGGGAAAACTCTGAGTCAGTTACCTTTCTTTAAAAGACTCATTTGCAGAACTTAAATTCACTGACATTTTACCCTCAGGCCTTTAACTGTTTTTTGAAGATAAACCATGGTTGAGTGAATCAAAATAATTTTGCAGCAAACAGTCATTTGACAAAAGCAAACCCATTGAGACATACAGTTCCTAGCTGATTACCCACTTCCAGCCTCCATCAGCATGAATTTATTGATCAGAGGGGAAAAATGAATTGAAAACTAAGTGTTCGTCTGAACTCCATTTCCTGTATTATCTTGGGGTTATAGAGAGTCTCAGCTACAGAATTATCACCAATAATCCATCTCACTAGATGGTCACTAGATCTTTTTAAGTGCCTTAAACTCAGCACTACTGGAATAATTTTAGCCATTTTTTGCAGTGTGATTTCTTTCCTATAAAGATCAAAGATCTCAATGTGCATCTGCAGATATCTATAGATATTTCATAAGTACAGTGGCTATGGAAGCTCATGCAATTGATGTTAAATGATGCACTCATAACTTTATTATTGAGCAATCATGAATTCTTCATTCTTTCAATTATATAAAACCTATTCATTCACTAAGAGAGATGGGGAAGTTGCTACCCAAATAACGTTGAATGAGTAAGCTGTAATAAACATAGGCAGTGAATAATTCCTTGTGAGTTCATCTCTTGACAAAACATAGCACATTACCTGGCATAAAGAGCTTGGCAAACATTGAGCACATTTTATGCGTCAACTACTGTGCCAACATTGGGTTTTCAGGGAAAACATGAATCTTGCCCTCATATGATTCACAATCTGGTTGAAGAGGCAGACATTGGATAAATAACACAAAATAATACATGGCTCAGAGTTTTGAGGAGTGCTAAAACAGATGCAGTTATATTGAGAATAAATCAGGGGCCAGAATTTAGTTTAGCATATATGGAGCTCCTTTTTGAAGAAATGACATGTGTAACTAAACTCTGAAGGGTGAGTTGAAGTTCGCCAGGTGAAGAATGGATGGTTAGCCTTCTAGAGAAAGTACATGCAAATATTTGGAGAAAGGAAAGAACTTAATACAGCTGAGGAACTGAAAGAAAGCCACAGGGGCTAAAACGCACTGGGGAAATAGCATAAGATAAAGGTGCAAGAGTAGGCAGTAAGAAGTATAAATTTTACTCTAAGTTTTATGGGAAAGAACTAAAGCCTTAGCAGCAAAGGAGTAAAACAATCTGATTTACATTTTTGAAAAGAAGGCCCAGAGTGCTGTATGGAGAATGGATTGGAAAAGAAGAGGAGGATAATATTGCAGACATTCAGAGGGTCTTTTGGGAATGGTGTCAGTGGAGATAGGCAAAATTGCATAAAGTCAAGACATATTTTGGAAATGGAATCTAAGAGGACTTTGAGATGGGCTGGATATCGGAACGTGAGAAAGAAGAAGCCAAGCCAACTTTAACTGTCAAATTAAAATTGATGGATAGCAATTCTATCTATGGAGAGTAATTGAGAAGAAGCCGTTTGGTGGAGGTGATAATGGGGGGAACAAGTTTAGTTGGCTATGTCAATGAGACATTCAGGAGGATATGCAAAGTAAGCTTTAATTAGCAATAGACTAGTGAAGTCAGACAGCAAGTATGAATCTAGGAGTCACACAATATTGATGCTACTTAAAATCACAGGAAGCAAGATCTATGTAGTGAGACTATAGAAAAGAGAAGCAAAAGGCCCAGAGCACAAATAGAGAAAAAGGAATCAACAAAGAATGCTAAAAAGGAGTAACAGGAGAAGGAGCAGAAACGAAAGAATGCAAAATGACAGAAACCAATAGAAAAGAGAGTCCGGAAAAAAAATGCTAAATGATCCAGAGAGGCCTAATAAAGTGACTGTTTAAAGTGTTTCTTACATTTGGTAGTTGGTGAGTTTGTAGACTTTGGCATGACAGTCACAGTTTCAGTTATGAGTTATGGGATGAAAATAGATTGGAGCAGGTTGAAGATCGATGGGATATGAGAAAATGAAGACAGCATGTGCAGACAACTCTTTCTAGAAGCTTTGCTGTGAAAGAAGAAAGAGAAATAGGGAGTTAGGCTAAGTGAAAGAAGCCAGACCCAAAAGTTGCATTCTAGATGATTCCACTGATAGAGACAGAGCAAGAGGGTGGAATAGAAAGCTCCACCAATTGTCCCCTGGGCAAAGACACCAAATTAACAGCTCTCTACACAGAAAAAAACACCTTCATGAGAACCAAAAATCAGGTGAGCACTCACAGTACCTGGTTTTAACTTCGTATCGCTGAAAGAGGCACTGAAGAGATAGAAAAGACAGTCCTGAATCACTGACACCACTCCTCCCCACTTCCCTGGCAGTGGCTGTGTGGAGAGCATCTTTGGGCTCCAGTGGGGGACATCATGGATGATTCCATTGACATAACATTTTGGAAAAGGCAAAATTACAGAAACAGAAAACTGATCAGTGGTTGCTAGGGATATGAAGTAGGTGAAGAGATGAACTACAAAGGGAAAACACAAGGGAATTTAGAAAGTGACGGCACTGTTCTATGTCTGTATTGTGCTCGTGGTTACGTAGCTATATGTATTTGTCTTAGCCCATAGACCTCTATGCTGAAAAGAGTTTATTTTTCTGTATATAATTTTTTAGCGCATTAACAACACAACAAATCCTTCAAAAAAGAACCTCTTTTCCTGGATAAAAAGCAAAGGGAGACTAACTCAAGGGCTGTTGAAGTAATTAAAAGAGAATTGCCCAAGACAGCTTCTATGTGGACATTAGGGAATCAAGAGAGGAAAAAAAGAAAAAAAAATTTGAGAACCATCACCGAGAACCCATAGACTGCATTCACTTCCTCTCTAAATACAGAAGCAGAGAACAAGGCACCAAATCTTCTTGAGTCATAAACCTCAAAAGGACATATGGTCCTTCACAATGATTAATATATATCAATGAGTGTTCTTTAGGTTGCATGCAACTATCACCACCTCCATCTTGAGTAAGTCACATACAGAAAAGGGAATGGGAGTAGAGAGGTAGTAGAAGGATTTCAAATAACTCACAGGTGTTAGAGAAATGACAAAGAACAATGCGTCCAATAATTCGTATGTGCCTCTAAAAACCCTCACCATTGTTCTGGCAGCCAGTTCCACCCACATTTCATCCAGCTTCACTCAAGTGCAACTGGACAACACCTGGCCTAGCCTTGTACACCTCTCACTTCCTACTCTGGGGCTTCTTGGGCACCACTGTGAGAGATGCCCATCAGGAACTCACTGGGTGCTCACAAATGTGCAAGCCATAAGTGGGGAATTAACACCATAGGGTCACCTTTTACCAATAGGAAAGGGGAGTCTACAGACACATCCTTCCCCCACTACTCTCCCTCACTCAGATCAACAGTTCTGAGGACCAATTTTTTAAATATCCTAACTCAAGTCCTTGGGATTAGGAACTAATCACCAGTAGTGGTAGTATTGCTTAGCTTCACCTCCTTGCCAGTTTCACTCCCTGTCCTGAATGCTCTGAAATCATGCTATCAGCTATATTACCCACAGCTAGGCTTCTTCTCAGGCTCTGCTTCCCGGGAAAGCCAGGCCAATACAACCAGACCTTGGGAAGGATCCTGGGTAGGTCTGAAATTTTCAGCTATAGAAATTTATAACCATCTCGTAAGGGTAATGACAGCAGAAGCTCTAACCAACCTCTAACCAGTTCCCAGGAGAGAGTCTGATTGGCCCAGCTTAGGTCACATACATACCCTAGGGTCTTAGGGCATGGAATCTCATGCTCTAATCCCAAGAGAATCGCTTGGAGTGGAGAAAGGAGTTTTCCAACAAGTATGATGAGGTTGGAAATAGGGGAAATTTTAAGAAACTTTTGTTACTAGTTGGAAGTTGCTTTAGGGTCACATTAACTTATCAATCGTTTTTTTTTTAATGTATACTGTGGCATCCTAATCCCCTTGTGACTGAAGTGTAAGTTTCTTTTCTCTGAGGAATCAACAGCTTTTAAGACCGTGGAACGAACCTTAAAATAGAAAACATGAGCCTAATTCACGTATATACGGGCTTTTCTCGTAGATTTTTCTGATGGTTCAAAATTGATATTTTTATTCTGGAAAGTTCATGCTCTAACAACTGTTTAAACAGCCAGTTTCATTTTCACTCACTCTCATTTTGTTTCTCTCTAGGTTAATATCCAACACAGGTATTAAGCACCTTCCAGATGTTCACAAGATTCATTCTCTCCAAAAAGTTTTACTGTAAGTTTTTTCCTTGAGTGACTACCAACTCTTTACTCAGTATCTGTCTTGCCCAACGGCTATCTGGGCCTTTAATATGCATTGTGTAGTCTACATCCTCCAAATGTATTGCTCTGGGTTAGCAAAGATAGGGAGGCCAGAAGTGAGGTCCTTGATTTTACCTGCAGGCCAGTCAATATTAGTTTGGAGGAAACTGAAAGACCCTTCAATAAGAGTATTGTTCACAAAACCAGCATGTAGCAAAATCAAAAAGTGGCTCATTTTTTCACTATTTAGCGCTTTAATTACTGCCCCCCACACACATAAACAACACCCCCTGTATTCCAGCATCCTCTCCTCTTCTTTCTAGAATTGCTATGCTGCCCTGGGCACAAAGAAACTATCTAACAAACACATTCATATTAAAGAGTTAATGACAGGCTGTGTTTGCCTTTTCCCAAGGTATTTGTATTTTGAAAAAGGAAGAGAAAAGGTAGCATATAATGGCAACTATTCCCAATAGTGAAATTGTAAGAATATGGACAGATCCAAAAGGAGGAGATGGGGAAGGGGTGTAAGGAGCTAAGCAGAGAGGAAGGAGATAAGCAGGGAGGGAGGAGAGAAAGAGGAAAATATGAAAATCTTTCAGAATTTCTCAAATTGTTCCAAGCTGTTTACTACACTACTTGTACAGCTGTTACTTCCACATTTACTTCTCCATATTAGATCAGACCTAACAGGGAAGGTTGACGGGGGAAATGAGGAATACAAACAGAAAATGAGAGTTTCCTCATCCTTTCATTCAGGAAAAGAAAAATCAATGATAAAGCCATTCTGAGACCCAAGGAGAACAGGCAGAAGGAAACTAGCTGTAAGAAGGGGATTGACATGAGGAGAAGGCCCAACTAAGATGAACAGAGAAGTTAGACAAGAGGTGAAAGGTCAGCTTAAGTGTTTGTTACATTAGGGTGAAATTATTTAAGAAAACCTTCAGAAGAAAAAAGTAAGCCATGCACAGTGGCCAGTGGCTCTAATCCAGTACTTTCGGAAGCCAAGGCAGGCAGATCACTTAAGCACAGGGTTTGACACCAGCCTGGGCAACATGGTGAAACCCTGACTTTACAAAAAATACAAAAATTAGCTGGGTATGGTGGTGCACACCTGCAGTCCCAGCTATTCTGGAGGCTGAGGTGGCAGGATCACTGGAGCCTGGGAGGTTGAGGCTACAGTGAGTTGTGATGGCACCACTGCACTCCAGCCTGGGTGACAGAGCAAGAGAACCTGTCTTAAAAAAAAAAAAAAAAAAAAAAAAAGACACTGAATGTCTGCAATTCCATTTGTAAGAACATACTAAAGATAAATTAGAGACAATTTTTTCTCCAAACTTTGAGCTGATCATCTTCTAAACAACAACTAGTTATATTAATACATTACCTCAGCTGAAGACCGCATCATGCCAGTTAAACTAAATTTTGGAAGGTTACATGAGTAGAGCTGATGTAAGTATCTTATTTGTCTGTACTTTCTTCTAGTGACATTCAAGATAACATAAACATCCACACAATTGAAAGAAATTCTTTCGTGGGGCTGAGCTTTGAAAGTGTGATTCTGTAAGTAAGGGGGAAAAAATCCAACAGAGTAACATTTGATTTTTCATTTAGTGATCTCTTTCTCATAATTGGATGCTCCTTTTTTGTTTGGGTAACTTTGGCATTTCTCCACTTAAATCACTCTCCAGTTCTGCGTTCCTCTCTCATCTTTACATTTCAGAATCACAATGTGGAGTCATGTTAATAATTTATGATTCTGGGGTGTGATTCAAGTATTTAAAATTGCTGTTTGAATGATGATCTCCTGTGATACAACATCTGTTCCAAAGGAAAGAATAACTCATGCATCAATAAAGCTAGTTATTGCCTGGCAAGGCTTTTGTTGCCCAAAGAAAAAGATCAGGAAGGAGGCCCAATCAGGAAGATATGGCGATTCCCTCATAACCATGCCAAGCAGTTCCTGTTCAGGCCCATGCTGAGCATAGGATGACTTCTCATTTTCTTGAAACAATCACATTTTTTAATGAGCTTGAGTTACTCTCTCTGACTTTTGGGAAATCTCTTAAAAGCATTCTGTGTTGTTAGTGAAAGACCTTCTACTCTTTTATGCCAGTAGCCCCTGTAGCAGTTTATCCACTCACAAGTATGGCCAAGAAATAGGACACTATGGGCTATCTAAGTATGCCTGGGATCCATGAAAGTTAGATGCACAGAATGACATTTGGGGACCCAGCAATTGCACTTACATCTGTAAGATATGAAAAGCATTTTATCTATTTTACAAACTGTTGTGTTTTTAAAAAAATATACCAGTATGAGTTTTTAAAATATGCCTATATGTACAAAACATAAGTTCCAGTCCATAAAGAATTTTAGCCCCCTTCAGTTGTATGATTCAGAGACCAGGCTGTTGAAAGAAAAAAGAAATAGTAGACAGATTATAACACTTTGATGAGTAAAGCTAAGCACTGTATTTGATGTAAATTAATCACAGATAACAATGGAAAAAGTTTGAAAACAGATTAGCATAGAAATTGAATGTATGGAGGGAACAATAAAATTAAATCAAAGGAATGTATTCAAAATACATAGATATTAGGACAAAAGCTATAGGTGAGTGATACTGAATCATTTCACATAAGCTCATGATATTTGAAGTGAAGGGGTGTGTGTGTGTGTGTGTGTGTGTGTGTGTGTGTTGAGATGAGGTGATGGGGTGCAGAAAGGGTAAGAAAGAGAAAGCAAAAGGAATAAACTAAAACGCGAGCAGAATGAATGATATACAAAGAAAAAAAGAGCAATCATTCTAAGAGGAAAGAAGGAATGATTTAATCTCACTAGTCTGTGATGCGAGGGTTAAAGGAAGAGTTAAACAAGGGAAAGGAAGCTAAGAAAAAGAGGTTGTTTTTAAAATGGGCTTTTAAAGATGAGCAGTAGTTAGCTAGGGAATTGGCAAAGGGCGTGCAGAGGGAACAGAATAATCAAGACCAGGAAGAGCACCTGCCTTTTATAAAAATAAAAATAATCAGGTGGGCGTGGTGGCTCATGCCTGTAATCCAAGCACTTTGGGAGACAGAGGCAGGCAGATCACGAGGTCAGGAGATTGAGGCAATCCTGTCTAATACAGTGAAACCCGTCTCTACTAAAAATATATAAAAAAAAAAAATTAGCTGGGCATGGTGGCAGGCATCTGTAATCCCCTCTACTCAGGAGGGTGAGGCAGGGGAATCGCTTGAACCCGGGAGGCAGAGTTTGCAGTGAGCCAAGATTGCACCACTGCACTCCAGCCTGGGCAACAGAGTGAGACTCCATCTCAAAAAGTAATAATAATAAAATAAAATAAATAAAAATAATAATACAAAGAGCTTGTGGAAAATAGTGAATACATGAGTCATATTGGCCTGCTGGATTGTGAAACAAACACAACAGTAAAAGGATTCCTGGGTTACTTCACAGAGGGAGATTGGTGATAAATGTAAACATTTATACCTAGATGTTTATGTTTATTTGGATCTTTCTTGAAATATATGTTCATTTTAAATAGACTTAAATGAATGTTATAATATGGCAAACTTATTCAATTTTTTTATAGAAAATATATAATTAAGTGGGAGTGTGCTCATATCATTCTTGTAGTTTTGCATAGTGTGCTTATATTGTTCTCACAGTATCATTGATCTGACTTTTTTGTCCAGACCGTAAGACAGAAGGCAAAGCACTTTAAGTGACCTGGTCTCAACTCTCCCCAACTAGAGGCAAAGAACCTGAGGAAATAAGAACTTCTGACATAGCTTTGCAAACCCAAAGCTACAAGGGAAACATATAGATCCTGTCTGCTCTTTCCTAACTCCTGTTCATGGACACTGATCTCTCAGAATTTAGGAACACACTTTTCAGGAAAGGAGTTTTCTTTTAAGAGTGAATGTTTCTCAGACATGTCTCTAAAGGATAAACTCACTTTTGTGGAAACAATTTCTATTGTTCTTATTTTGGCTGTCCCTTAATCCATAGACAATAAAATCATGTAATTCATACTTAACACAACTTAAGTCTCCAATCGTTTCTAGTTTGGCAGCTTCGATGCAGGGGTGTTTTCTTCCCATGGGGACATTTGAGCACACTCAGAAAAAAAAAAAAAAAAAAGCATGGCAAATGGCGCTGATGACTGTTGAAGTATTCTATGGATAGCAATTTTCAAAATTCTGGGAATACTACACAGCTATAAAAAAGAACAAGATCATGCCCTTTGCAGCAACATGGATAGAGCTGGAGGCCAATATTCTAAGCAAACTAACACAGGGACAGAAAACCAAATACCATATGTTCACTCTTGTAAGAGCTAAACAATGAGAACACATGGATTCTAGGAAAGGAACAACAGACAATGGGGCCTACCTGAGGGAGGAGAGAGAGGATCACAAAAAATATCTATTGGGTACTATGGTTATTACCCAGGTGATGGAATTATTTGTCCACCAAACCCCATGACGTGCAGACTACCTAATGTAAAAAACGTGTACATGCGGCCGGGCGCGGTGGCTCACGCCTGTAATCCCAGCACTTTGGGAGGCCGAGGCGGGTGGATCATGAGGTCAGGAAATCGAGACCATCCTGGCTAACAAGGTGAAACCCCGTCTCTACTAAAAATACAAAAAATTAGCCGGGCGCAGTGGCGGGCGCCTGTAGTCCCAGCTACTCGGGAGGCTGAGGCAGGAGAATGGCGTGAACCCGGGAAGCGGAACTTGCAGTGAGCCGAGATTGCGCCACTGCAGTCCGCAGTCCGGCCTGGGCGACAGAGCGAGACTCCGTCTCAAAAAAAAAAAAAAAAAAAAAAAAAAACCTGTACTTGCTCCCCTGAAACTGAAAGTTGAAAAAAATTCTGAGGCCCTGTTCTAAAAGTAAATGTATTTTTAAAGCAACCAGCAATGAAAGATTATCAGACACTAGCCTAGTGAATCAGAGAAGTGAGCAATAAAAACCCACTGTGTAGAGGCTTCTGAGCCCTTCTGCACCCGCACTGTGCCCTGGTAAGCAGAGTGCCTGAATGGGGAAAGCACCTAGCTATGGCCAGCCAGGAGAATAATGTCCTAATTCAGAAGAAATAAAATGAGTGATATGCGTTACAGTGCCCAGCACACTCGGGCCTCAGGAGAGACCTGCTTCGTGCGTGTTTCCTCTGTTCCTCAGTCTGCCCGTCTCCCTTGCCTGCCCCTCAATGAGTTTTAAAGGGCCAAGTCCCCAGCACCTCCACTCTTTAGGATGAGAGCAAAGTTCACTTCTGTAGCTTCCTGAGCCTCTGCTGAGTGAGCACACTGGCCTCATCCCCAAGGACACAAAAGGGTTAAGGTAAGCCTGTGATGCAGTAACTCCTTAGTTGATGTTCTGCCCAGGTTGTTGTAGTCATCGTCATCATCGTCATCATCGTCATCATCTGGTTTTCAAATAGGTACTTCCTCTCTTAAGAGACCAGGGGTGCGTGTAATAAATGTGGGTTTCCCTTTGTTACTAGCTTGAGATTCCCACAGATAACGTAAATCCAAGGGCAGCAGTTCTGAACATAATTTGTTTTTTTTGTGTGATGATCCACTGCTGATATCAAGAAATACCATCCTCCTCCCCATATAATGGTATCTGTTGATTGAGATAATCCATAAAGACAAAGGGATATTTGAATACAATAATTATTTAAAATTAGTTTATGTTTTATTTGATTATAGCAACATCGATTTACAGGACAGTAATATGCAAGAAATATTAATTATCTAGTCAATAGGCAAATAGGTGGAACCTGTATGGATTAAGGGTCAGCCAACTACATATAACCCAGAGGCCAAATCCAGCTCATGAGCTAAGACAGGAAACACTAACATTAGATCTAAGTTAAGCAAAATGTTATCCCCCACTAAAAATTCTCTTCTCAATATTAGGCCTATATTACAAAAAAAAAAAATACCCAATTATTACACTTTGAATTTGGTCAATAAAAAATTGTGGTAATTGTTTTATAAGTACATAAAGTACTTATATAATATTTTTTATTTTTGCCTTTTGGCCCATAAAACCTAAACTTTACTATCAGGCCCTTTACAGAAAAAGTTTGCTGAATCCTGTATTTGATTCAAATCCCCAGGGATCCACATGCCACAGCTACCTCAGCAACTCCCACTATCCTGCAACAGTCAGGAGTCCAGATGTGCCTGGGAGAGGCTTTCTCAAATGGCATTGGGGGTGCATAGCCACTTCTTTGCCATCAGAACCCACCAATTGATTGTGAATGTTTTAAAAGATTTGCCTCGCCCCTTTCTGGATTTTTTTAGGTAATTGGTTTTCAAGAGGAGGAAAAAGACATACAGTTGTTCTCCTGTGATTTTAAGTGTTTTCTGGCTACCCATGGCAGCCCAGGAAAGAGAGTCCTGGATGCACAGGAGCTTCTCTGGGTCAGCTTTCTGTACAGTGTTATTTGCAAGCCCACTAAGCTGGACAGGGAAAAGAACCTGACAGCAAAACAAGAGCAGGTAGTCAGAGGTTCTTCGGGCTAAGCTCTCCTGACCTTGGTATCTGTTTTTGTTTTCAGATCCACTCAGGAGCAGAGCAAGGCAGAGCTGTAGCCCAAGGTGTCCTTGGGCTCCCCTGTCCAGGGAACCCTGCTCACTGACCTTCTTAGCGCAATCAGGATGGCTGTTCTACACCCATCTCCACCTCCCCCAGAACCTCCTCCCCTGCTCATTCAGATCACCTCACCCTGCCACAGCCCACATTCTCTGTAATTGATTTCTCTTCCTTTCTGGCTTAACCCAGAGCCACCTCCACAAACCTCCAATAACCAGGTCCCTATGGGTCACAGGAGATGTTCAGGTTGTCTGACAACTTAATTAGATCACTTTTGATGACAGCCAGGCCTGCTGCTGTGGGTGATCATGGGTGAAAGGCTTAAGGCCTTAGAGAAAGGTGACACAAAATGTTCTTTCTCTGTCTTATAAACACTTGTTCAATAATTGTACGATTCCTGTCCTTCAGGATGAGAAAGATCTGTCGCTCCCCGCATTGCTTCTCTACACACAAATGATGTGTGTAAAGACCTTACAGTTATAGAATCCAGGCTGCTCTGCCTAAGTATGCCTTTCAAACTTAAATTTCATTTAATCCTTTGAATAGGTAATACATGCAAGTAATACAAACTTCAAAAGTTACAAAAGATTATACAGCAATAAATCAGTCTTCCTCCCACCCGTGTCCCCAAGCTTTAAAAGTGGCATTTTCTTTATGCCACTAACCTGTGCTGTCTGCCCTTGCTCAGTGCTTCCAATTATGAAACCCGTGTATTGTTTGCATCTGACATTATTGGTTTTTTAATAGGCCTTTTATTTCAGATGGCTGAATAAGAATGGGATTCAAGAAATACACAACTGTGCATTCAATGGAACCCAACTAGATGAGCTGTAAGTAGCCCTGACTATTCTTCAAGGCCATTTAAAGGGAAATGGCTCTTACAACAGCAATATTTATGTGGCTTTGTGTTTTCCTTCTTCTTTCCTCAACCCCATCCCCAGGAATCTAAGCGATAATAATAATTTAGAAGAATTGCCTAATGATGTTTTCCACGGAGCCTCTGGACCAGTCATTCTGTGAGTAGCTTTCCCCATTTCTGTGTGTAAGAGCTCAGTTTGTGTAAGTTAGAAGTCAACTCTCTGCAGCTAGGGGAGAAGCTTCCAACACAGGGCTGGCCATCAAGTTCAATTTTTATTCGTGTCATCTGCAAAAATTTATAGAGACAATTTAAGGCTTATCCACGGTCTAACTCTCCATTAAAAAGCAACACTAATAATAACATGTAATGAGCACGTACAGAGTGTCAGATGGCGTTCTCAGAAGTTAAGATGCATTTTCTTGTTTAATCCTTATAATCACCCCCTGTGGTAGGAGCTATTATTCCCGTTTTACAGAAGGAAAAACTGGCTTCCCTGGAGAGGTTAATTCACCCACTCAAGGTTATACAAGAGTTACAGCAGGGATTTAAACTGATCTAACTCATGGTACAGACCCACAACCACTCGATCATGTGTCTCTTCCCTGGAAAGGAAAGCACAATTCTCCATCATCCTCAACACTCAGGAGGTTCCTTCAACCCAATGAGACCTATATACACATTATTTTTGGATCCTCTTTCCAAATCCCTTGGGATGCATTCCGTGCCTCACAGCCCTGCATCAGCACCCCTCCCTCTTGTCATTTCCTTACTTCCATCTTTCCCTCCAAAAGTGACTTTCCCATCTTCTCTTCTTACCTACACTGCCCCTTCCATCAAGCATCATTCCAAAGTCCTCTACCTCCTCAAGTCTCTCTGACAACCTCGCCATCAGTGACTTCTTCCCGTGGCTCTCATGGCCTTTAAGGCTTCTTTGGTGGGGGGACAATCTGCATCACAATCACAAAAAGGCTTTTTAAAAATGTGTTCCTGGGCTCTAAGCAAGACCTACTACACTTACTGACTGAAAAAAGTACTTCAAGATGAAGAAAGGAACCCAAAAGGAGAGAATGAGGTACAAGAAGGAATGGTGAGCAGAGCAATAGATAAACATGTTAATAAATCTACAGTTTTACTGAATGATCCTTATGTAGCCTGCCTTAAGTCAAGTCAGGCGTTTAGAAGCCACCTGCCTGAACCTCTTATTTGGCAGTTAGCATAGGCTACCATGTGTGGTTATCTACCCACCTACCGACCAACCATCTATCTGCATCACTTTTGTCTACACCAAATAGCTAATATTCTCCTTCAGGCTGGAACCTGTGTACCTCTAGAATTAGACTTGGTATGGAGAGTCAGAATTTTAAATATTTATTATTAATGATAAAGGGTGTGTTGTGATCTATATATGAGATTCTGCTGCTTTGAAGAAGAAATATACACTTCAAGGTAGATTTATCATCCTGACCATGTTCAAAGATTATTCGAGAATGCCTGGCTTGAGATAGGCAACCTATACAAATGGAGTATCCGTGTGATTAAAGCGGAGATACAGAGCAGACTGCCTTGGTTTAGACCAATTCTTTTACCTCTCTAAGCCTTGGTTTCCTCACCTAAAAAAAATGGCCAAAACAATACCTATTTCCTAATATTATTTGAAGCATAAAACACACACACACACATAAATATTTTTTCACTCATCAGATAAATTTTTAAGCATCAGTCTTGTGCCATGCAGGAAACAAAGGAAAGTTCCTCCTCATAGAAAGCTTATATTCTCATTGGGGGTGGGAATAGAGAGGAGTCAGGCAATACATTAAATATACAACTTAATATATCAAGTCATGATCTATCTATGAAGTACAAGGAAGGACCCAGGGCTAACAAATGGAGAGTGTTGGGCATATAGTCCATGTACTCAAGAATACAAAGTACTCAAAACTTGTACTGCTTAGTTCATGTACCCTGTTCTTAGAGTACTCGGGAGACAAATGAATTTTGACAAGTACTTTTGATGTCTTTGATCCCCACAATAGCAGCATGTCAGTTTCACTTAGCAAAAAGCCCTGAAAGTTTTGAATGTTCCTAAGAAGGCATCTCTATCTGTTCATGGCAGAATATGTCAGTGATGGGTGTGTTTATATATGTGACCTGTACCAGGTACAATATTGAATCTATAGCATCTTAACCTATCTGCTCCCGAGAATAATGAAGTTGGATGAGATCCCCCAACTCCTTCATTATCCAACTGAAGAAATCAGAACCCAGAGGAGAGTGATCTGTTAAAGATCACACTGCAACTAGAAGGGGCAGAGTCTGGACCAGAAACTAGGTCTTCTGCCTCACATTCCATGTATTCCCACCATACCATGTTGCCATAAATACGTTTAATTGAACATCTAAAAGTTATTCGGTGAGGCCCCCTGAAACTGGTTGTGAGCTAAAATAGAGAGGAAAATAACTATTAACACCAGCCTCCCAGCCTAAGAACACCAGTCAATGTTAGATAAACGTGGCACAGAAGAACATCTCCTGAGGTTGCACAAGCAGATTCCAGGCGAAGATACTGCACAATGTATCTCATAAGAATGTTTAACAGAGAACACAAAACTTGAATCCCCCATCTAGCCCCACTGTGAACGCAGGCAGGAAGAGAGCCTCTGTGAAAGCATCGGAAGCAATTCTACAAGGTCCTCAAGTTATAGGCCCATTGTTTTGTCCTTCTTACCACAGGAACACATCTGTCTAGAATTAAGGGAATACAATTTACAGAAAATCCATGGAATTAGGAAGCACTCCCCATGACTTAAAAAGGTAGAGAGTGATAATACATTCCCACATATTTCCATCTCAGTGCAGGATCCTGGCTGGAAGCCCAGCCTATAATTGCGAATTTCCTCTTTTCCCCCTGGGGCCAAAAGAATTGTTCACCTTAACATCAAGCCCCCCTTTCTGGGGCTTTCAGATCAGTCCATAGATGTTCTTCAAGCCTCTCCCCCTGCTGACCTGAGATGCAAGAAGACTAATAGCTTATTCCACATCTCACTTCTGCATCCAGATACACTAAACCATCTAAACCCTGGCCTGAGAGGTGCTTGTGTAGGTGTGCAGTAGACCAGCCCACCTCAGGTGATGAGTTAAGAGGTAAGAGTAGGAGTATGCGTAGGCTATTCAGACCACAGTAGGTGCAAATCATGCTGATCTTGACTGTGCCTTGGGTCAGATTGCAGTCCCCGCTCCCACACACACACACACACACACACACAAAGACTGTGATATATCTGCATGCGGGAGGTTTACCGGAGGGTGCTCTCAGAATGTACAGGGAACCCTTGATGGAAGCAGAATCAGGGTAATGCATTTGCAACAAAAGGCTCAGCTGATCCCATGGGGAGATCTGGAGTTAAGATGGTCCTTCAAAGTTGTACTGAATTAAGGTAAGGGGCAAGTCCTCCATATCAAGAATTATTGGGTGCAGGCTGTCCCTGGGGAGGAACCAAACTCCTGGGGAGGAGAAAGTCAGCTGAGGGCAATTCCCAGAGTAGACTCGGCTATGAGCCACCTCAGCTGTGAGTGGTTCTCAGTTGTCCTAGAGCAGCATGTTCAGAGTTGAGTAGGTTTTGGGGGGGTGTTTTTGTGGTTTTTTTTAATCACCCATGCTGGAGTGCAGTGGTGCCATCATAGCTGACAGCAGCGTTAAACTCCCGAGCTCTAGTGATCCTCCTGCCTCAGCCTTCTGAGTAGCTGGGACTACAAGCGTGCACCACCACACCTGGCCATTTTTTTTGTTGCAGAGACAGGGTCTCACTATGTTGCCAAGGCTGATCTCAAACTCCTGGCCTCAAGTTATTCTCCTGCCTTGGACTCCCAAAGCACTGGAATTACAGGCGTGAGTCATAACACCCAGCTCCCACCTTTAGAATTTTTGATTCAGTAGGTCAGGGTTGAGGCCTGATAACTTGTATCTCTAACATCTTCCTAGTGAAACTGATGCTGCTTGTCCAGAGTGCTCTCTGAGAATTACTGCCCTAGGACCAATATTGGGAATTGGGAAGCCTTGCTCAGTCTCCAAAATATCTCCTCCACAAGCCAAATGTGGTGAATCTTCCTCCCTCACTGGCTCAGTCCTTTTTCTCCAGTGGATATATGCAAGGAATTCTAAGAAAATTAAGGGGCACACACTCAAACTGATGATAGCTGCTTTCCTGAAGGCAAAATTTGTAGTTGAGGGAAGAATAGGGAGCCTCTGAACACCTGAGGGTGCAAGGGTGCACTGTTCCACACAAAGAAAGATAGATGCAGAGAAAGCCAGGGGCATACAAACAAGTTTCATCGAGTTTCAGAGGAGCAGCTCAGCATCCTCATTTCCCCCTTGTGAGTCTTGACCTTGAACATCAGCAGCCATCTGAGTTTTTACCTGATATTCTGAACTCACTCAAGGTTGTTTTTTTTTAAGCAATCGAACAATTGCTGTTTCTTTGGGAAACAGTTTCCTGTGGGGAAAATTTAATGCATTGCCTTTGCAGGCTGGAGCCAGTACAATCATATTCTGATGGTTTATCAAATTGATTTGGCTATAGCTCAGATTCATTTGATAGTTCAGATTCAAACACTGAGTTATTTGTATAAGAATGGTTCTCTTCCATTACCAGTGTACCCACAGTCCTATAGATAGTAAATTGCCTTTTTATCCAGCCTGGGATCATGAAAGAGAGGTCTTCTAGCCATCTGTCAGTGTAGTATACACCAGAAATGTGCTCTCACTTATGGAAATGATTGACCTGTAATAACATCTTTGCTGGGAAAAATAGAAATTGTTCAAATCAAATTTGTGGCACTG